>NC_000017.11:6248686-6400201 GCF_000001405.40 Homo sapiens
AGCAGTTCTTTATCCTGTCGGAGGCTCTGTGACCCTACAAAAGCTCTGTGACCCCCGCAGGTGAGCTTTGTGGTCTCAGAGAGGCCTTGTGATTACTCTAGCGAGCCCAGAGAAGGAGGCCATGAGAATTATTAGGGCAACCGAGGCCCGGGCATGCCAAATTATTTCCCCTGGTGATGCCCTTTTGCACAGAATTTAGCACTGGAAATGAAGACCATATGTGCCCAGCAACAAAACATCCCAATGAAAAATGGAAAACGAAGGCGCTGCTTTGTCTATTAAATGCCAAACATCCAGGACTTTCCGCATAAGCAGATGCTGATCACCACCCTGTAGGAGAGCGGCTCATAGAGTAGAAAGCGTGCAGGTCTGAGTTCGGGCGCGGTGACTCATGCCTGTCATCCCAGCACTTTGGGAGGCTGAGGCAGGTGGATCACTTGAGGTTAGGAGTTCGAGACCAGCCTGGCCAACATGGTGAAATCACATCTCTCCTAAAAATACAAAAATTAGCCGTGTGTTATGGTGCGTGCCTGTAGTGCCAGCTACTTGGGAGGCTGAAGCAGGAGAATCACTTGAACCCGGGAGGCGGAGGTTGCAGTGAGATGAGATCAAGCCACTGCACTCCAGCCTGGGCGACAGAGTGAGGCGCTGTTGAAAGAAAGAAAGGAAGAAAGAAAGAAAGAAAGAGAGAAAGAGAAAGAGAAAGAAAGAAAGAGCGAGCAGGAGTGAGACTCAGGAGACTGTTCTTCCAGAAGGCTCTGCCACGAGTAGCCAGAGGTCACCTCAGTCAAGTCATCACCCTCTTTGTATCACAGTGTTCTCACCTTCAATGAGGATGATGATAATCTCCACTTGGGGGCATTGGGAAGACTAAATGAGATGATGGGTAAAAACATAGTCTGCAACATGTAGAACATTCCCTAAAATATTATTACTAGCTTGTCTTCACGTTTGCACAGAAATTCATCATTTGTACAGTTTTCACACAGACCAACTCATTTGACAAGAAAGCAGAACCCAGAGAATTTTAATGACTTACCCCAGGACACACAGATAATAAATGGTCGAGTTGGGACTCAAATCCAGAGCTTCTGATCCCACTTTCAAAGCTCTTTCCCCCTCAGCATGCTGCTCTTTCCTCTTGTTAATCTTGTTCACATGTCCCCATTGTCCCTCAGTGACTTGTTACAGCTGGTGCTCATTAAATGTGTGCAGATGGAGAAATCAGTTATAGTTTTTAGTTCTTCCTGCTGCTCCCTGTGGAGAGGTCATCCTCCCTCTGCCTCCCTCCCCAGAGCCATCGCATCCTGAATTCCACCTTTCGGGCCCTTTGGCCTTCTGAACTTCCCTTGTCATCCACCGTGAGGCCTTCCACTGTAGCTTCCTGGCAAGAATGAGCACTGCCTGAACTGGGAGGTGGCAAGGCAAGGGGCGAATCACAGAGATTATGTTCCTGGGAGGCTGCACTGCCCCATACACACAGGTGGCAAACATTTAAAGGAAGACTTTAACTATATGGTGAAGGAGCCCTATAGTTATGGTTGTGAGAAGCAATATTTTTCCTCCTGGTCCTCGCTAGGCTTCCTCCTCTTCCTTTTTTTTCTATTTTTATTTATTTTATTTTATTTTATTTTTGGCTGGAGTGCAGTTGCATGATCTCAGCTCACTGTAACCTCCACCTCCCAGGTTCAAGTGATCTTCCTGCCTCAGCCTCCTGAGTAGCTGGGGCTACAGGTGCGCGCCACCATGCCCAGCTTATTTTTGTATTTTTAGTAGAGATGGGTTTTCACCATGTTGGAAAGGATGGTCTCGATCTCTTGACCTTGTGATCCACCTGCCTCGGCCTCCCAAAGTGTTGGGATCATTGGCATGAGCCACCGCGCCTGGCCCCTCCTCTTCCTTTCTAGCCCTGGGCTCCAAACTTTTGCCCTCACAGATGCTCCTTCTAGACTGGCCAAGTGTAGGTATTTCCCGGGGTGGAAGGGAGGGGGCAGAAAGAAGAGTAACGGGACCACCCGGACGCCATGGACAGAGAACCCACGGAGCCGGTGGTATCCATGATGTGGAGTCCAGGGACGCCCTGGGCAAAGCAAGCCCTGAGGAATGAAGCTGCTCTCCCTGTGTGGGGCTCCTGCAGCGGGTAGAGCATCACTGGGAGGTGCAAATGCTCAGAAATAGAAGAAAACTGTGGGGCCTCGGAGCAAGAGCTCCCTTGTTCTTTCTGCCAGTCTTTTTGTCCCTGAGCTCTAGAGATTCAGAGACGAGTAAGACCACGTCTCAAAATCGAGTGGGAAGGCAGAGACGAAAGCTAAACTTATCATTTACAAGGTAGAGAAATAAAGAACCACATCATGGCCAGATGAGAACAAAGCCTGAGGGAGAATAAAACCACTTTGGGCATGCGAAGCCTTGGAAACAGGAGCTCCTGGGCACCCTCTCCAAACAAGTTACTTCAAGACATATGTCGGTAAAATGAGGAAAACATCAAAAAAATAAAAAGAAAGAAAGAAAGAAAAAGAAATAAAGAAAGAAAGAGAAAGAAAGAAAGAGGAAGATATAGAATAAACAAACTGGTATAAAAAATCCAGGGGTCAAATGAGAAAAAAATACTTCAGACTTGTGTACCATATCTAGACAGCAGTCAGTTTGTAGAGCCAGAACCTATGAGTTCCAAGGGGGAAAAAAAATAAATCAAGGAGAGAGAAGGCATTCTAAGCAATGTTTGTAACATAAACAACAAAGAATTTTGACATCTGTAATAAGCAAAGAACTCCCATACATCAATAAGGAAAAGAGAACTAGGCAGGGGTTATAAAAGGCAATCTCACCAGGCGCAGTGGCTCACGCCTGTAATCCCAACACTTTGGGAGGTTGAGGTGGGTGGATCACCTGAGGTTAGGAGTTCGAGACCAGCCTGGCCAACATGGTGAAACCCCATCTCTACTAAAAATACAAAAATTAGCCAGGTGTGGTGGCAGGTGCCTGTAATCCCAGCTACTCGAGAGGCTGAGGAGGGAGAATCGCTTTTTTCTCTACCTTTATTTCTTTATTTCTACCAGGAGGCAGAAGCTTCAGTGAGCCAAGATTGCATCACTGCATTCCAGCCTGGGCAACAGAGTGAGACAGCATCTCAAAAAATAATAATAATAATTGTAATTGCCATGAGACTACAGAAAAAGTTAACATGTATAAAAATTACATAACTAAAGACAACCTGAGGCTGGGCACAGTGACTCATGCCTGTAATCCAAGCACTTTGGGAGGCCGAGGCGGGTGGATCACCTGAGGCCAGGAATTTGAGACCAGCCTGGCCAACATGGTGAAACCTCGTTTCTACTAAAAATACAAAAAATTAGCTGGGCGTGGTGGCACACGTCTGTAATCCCAGCTACTTGGGAGGCTGATGCAGAGGAATCGCTTGAACCCGGGAGGCGGAGATTGCAGTGAGCAGAGGTCGTGCCACTGCACTCCAGCCTGGGTGACAGAGTAAGACTCCGTCTAAAAAAAAAAAGAAACAGGCCGGGCGCTGTGGCTCACGGCTGTAATCCCAGCACTTTGAGGGGCCGAGGCGGGTGGATCACGAGATCAGGAGATCGAGACCATCCTGGCTAACACGGTGAAACCCCGTCTCTACTAAAAATACAAAAAATTAGCCGGGCGAGGTGGTGGGCGCCTGTAGTCCCAGCTACTCGGGAGGCTGAGGCAGGAGAATGGTGTGAACCCCGGCGGGTGGAGCCTGAAGTGAGCCAAGATTGCACCACTGCACTCCAGCCTGGGCGACAGCGAGACTCCGTCTCAAAAAAAAAAAAAAAAGAAAAGAAACAGAAATAAAAGAAAAAGAAATCTACCCGCAGCACAGGGAACTACAAATGGTCAATGGCACAGGACACATTGTTCAATCTCTTTAGTAAGCAGAGAGATACACCCTAAAGCAATGACAAGGGTCCACTACCCACCTATTAGTTTTCAAATGTTGTAACATAAAGTGCTGGTCAGGGCGTGGAGAGACGGCCACTTCTCTCCTCACTTGCGGTGGGAGTATATACATGGGTACAGGCTTTTTGAAGGACAATCTGTCAGTATCTGATGAAAGTTTAAACAGCTTGGCTCTGTTTAAAGGGAGAGAGGAGGACAAGGATTGTTCCCCTCACCTTCCAATCTCCTGCCTGTGCCCAACTTTGGTGGACACCAGTTGCAATGGAGCCGGGAAACCCAGTGGACCAGGCTCGGCCTCCCTGGCAGCCTTCCCTGCCAGGAAGAAGGGAGCAAGGGCAGGGAACAGATGTGACAATAAACCCACACAGGACCAGCTCAGCTGTGTTCCTTTGTTTGTGGTTTTTACACACACCATTCATGTTACCTGTAGAGCGTAGTCTGGTGTGTGATTAGACCACAGTTGGTGGGGATGTAAATTAGTTCGGCCTCTGTTGAAAGCAGTTTGGAGATGTCTCAAGTAACTTAAAACAGAACTACCATTTGACCCAGCAATCCCATGACTGGGTGTATATCCAAAAGAAAATAAATCATTCTACCAAAAAGACACGTGCACTCGTATGTTCATTGCAATGCTATTCACAATAGCAAAGACATGGAATCAATCCAGGTGCCCAACCACAGTGGGTTAAACTTTGAAAATGTAGTGCATATCCACCATGGAATACTACACAGCCATAAAAAAGAATAAAATCATGTCCTTTGGAGCAACGTGGATGCAGCTGGAGGCCATTATCCTAAGCCAGTTAATGCAGAAACAGAGAGCCAAATACTGCCCATTCTCACTATTAGTAGGAGCTAAACATTTGGTACCCGCAGACACAAAGATGGGAACAATAAATGCTGGGGTAGGTAGGGAGGAGGACAAGGGTTGAAAAACTATCAGACACTATGTTCGTTACTTGGGTGATGGGATCCTTGGAAGCCCAAACCTCAGCATCACACAATATACCCATGTAACAAGCCTACACATGTACACCCTGAATCTAAATATTTTTGAAATTAAAAAAAAATAGACCACAGCCTATGTATCCATTTTCCTGTTTCTGAACACCGAGACTCACCTCTAGCTTTGTGGAATTTCAAAGTGTTTTACAAAATATGACTGTACACCATTCCCTGTGTACACAAATACAATGCTCTCTAGGACAGATGGCGTAGACACGGGATTGCTGGGTTGAGGAGATGGAAAGGTAAGGCAAAGGAAGTGCCATGGTATTGCGTTCATGCTGTCTGCCTTGGACAGAATCTGTAGAAATGGCTGATTCCCTTTGTCTGTGGCTCCACTTTCTATCAGACATCCCCTTCCACAGGCTCTGCTCCCACCAGGTGACCCTGGCTCCTGGGCTCCAGTCACACCGGCTCCTTCCTTTGTCCACAGCTCTGGGGTGGAGCGGCTCTCTCCCTTCTCTGGGCCATCTCGCCTTCCCTGTCGCCCTTTCAGCTCCTTGCACACCTTGGTAGCTTGCTCCCTGTATTAGCGTTTTCCTGTTAATATCCATCTGGCATGGATTTTGTTTTCCTGGATGAACACTGACTCATACATAGGCCACAGTCAGGAGTTTGGAGGGCAACCAAGTGCCAAGAATTTTATGCAGAAGAGTGTCATGATTTAGTATCTGACCTAAACCCATGATGTTGGCCATGGTGTGGAGGTTAAATTGAACAAAAGCATGGAATTCTGTGAGGAGGTTGATCTAGCAGAGGCTTGCACAAGGGTAATAGCAGGGAACAGAGACAAACAGAGGGCTTTGCAGTATTTTACAGTGATAGATGTGGGGGTGAGAGGAGGACACGAGTAAGGAATGAAGCCCAGATTTCTGGGTAGTGGCGCTGCCATTTACTGAGGTAGGAAAGGAAGGGTTTTGTTTTGTTTTGTTTTGTTTTGTTGTACATGGAGTGCTGAGAATATATGAGTTTTTCTTTACTAAACACCTTCTCTCTCTCTTTTTTTTTAGACAGAGTTTCCGCTCTTGTTGCCCAGGCTGGAGGGCAATGGCACAATCTCAGCTTATTGCAACCTCCACCTCCTGGGTTCAAGAGATTCTCCTGCTTCAGCCTCCCAAGTAGCTGAGATTACAGGCACCTGCCACCACGGCCAGCTACTTTTTGTATTTTATTAGAGACGGGGCTTCACCATATTGGTCAGGCTGGTCTCGAACTCCTGACCTCAGGTGATCCTTCTTCGTGTAGGTGCCCTCCTGTCTTATCTCCTACAGCTTCTGGGGCTGCAGGGGGACATAAATACCACATGTGCAGGCACCTTTGTAAACTATGCAGCAGTTTCCTTAAAAAACAAAACAAAACAAGAAACACAGTGACCACAGAGGGGAGCTGGGAAGGAGAGTGAGGGGCAAGGGCATTTCTGGGGCCCGTCTCTCCTCTCTGTGGCTCCAAGGGCAAGATTCCCATCACTAGCTAATGCAAATAACTGCATGACAGCACGGAACACCACCAGCTGCCCCGTGGCGTGCCTACTAGGTATCAGGCCCTATGCTGGGTATTTTATACACATTCTCTCTGATCCTCTGAAGTGGGAGCCAGCAATCTTAATTTGATTTTCAGAGTCAGAACTGGTGGAAATTCACTTTGGTTTCTCGTATGGCTGGATCTCGTATTTCTAAAGGCCCATGCCGGGTGGACTATTACATCATGTTGACAATATAAATTAGACTGATTAGAGGCTGACAATATCATTAGGAATGACATACTATTTAGTAGCTGGCATTATTGTCTGTAACATTTATACATGACAAAGTGCTTTCTATCTCTGCCCAGTGACACTTTGACACCAACCCAAATCATAGAAAATGCTGTGGTGTGAGCCATAGGCCAATTATTAACTGTCCCTGGGAGGTCCCTCAGCCCTTCCAGCCCTGCTGACAAATTGGTCTTTGGTGAAATTAAGAAGTCTTGGGAGAAGCTTATTTTTCTATTCTTGGGAACCCAGGGATCTCCCCAGCTCCCAGCTCCCAGGTAGAGAAGCCATCACTGTACATGGGAAAAAAATAAAAAAGAACACTCAGCACTAAAAGCCTAGGTTCTATCTCTGATTACCTTCATGCCATTAGTAAGTCATTTATTCTCTCTAAGCTTGTTTCCTCATCTAAAAAAAGAGAAACAAAAATACTTAACCTATCTCTACTATGGAAGTTTTCTGCAGATAGAATGAGCCAGTGGATATGAACAGACTTTGTGTCAGTCAACCTTTGCTGTATAACAAACAACCACAAAAAAATCCCAGAGTCAATAAGCATGTATTTACTTCACGTATCTGGGGGTTGGTGAAGACTTGTCTGATCTAGGCTAGACTGGCTGAGTGGCTTTGCTTTAGGCTATGGGTTTGGTTAGAATGGGTTCCTTGCCATACATTGGGCTCTGGTGTGTTCCTTGTATGTTTATCCTGGAGCCTGGGATACAGGGGAAGCATCTGCTGGTGAGAAGCTCTTCTCGTGGCGATGGCAGAGGTGCAAGCGGGTGAGCCCAGCTGCACAAGCACATTTCACGTCCTTGTTTGCGTCATGTATGTTAATCTTCCAAAGTAGGTCACATAGCCAAGCCCCAAGCCAAGGAGTAAGCAAAAAAACTCCCATGTATGTGGAGAAGAGGGAGGGAACGTTTTTAAACAATAATACCACCTCCTTGTTCCATACATACATAAGAAAGGACTGTTGCTTATCATTATTTTTTCAACACCAGTAAGGACAGAGATGTCAAATATCCCGTTTTTCATCTATTGTTTTGGCCTCACAGCAACTGGTCTGGCTGTAGTTAATCAATCCAACTGACCATCAATCCACTGGACAAATTGACTTTTCGGTTGTGTCCAATGAAGTTGATTTCCACAGGTGCATTGGGCCCCCTGAGTCCTCTCTGTGCTACGTGATGGGTTAGAAAGTAGCCAACTTTGGCCGGGCACGGTGGCTCACCCCTGTAATCCCCGCACTTTGGGAGGCCGAGGTGGGCGGATCAAGAGGTTAGGGAGCAGCCTGACCAACGTGGTGAAACCCCATCTCTACTAAAAATACAAAAATTAGCTTGGCGTGGTGACACGTGCCTGTAATCCCAGCTACTCAGGAGGCTGAGGCAGGAGAATCGCTGGAACCCAGGAGGCGGAGGTTGTAGTGAGCTGAGATCGCACCACTGCACTCTAGCCTGGGCGACAAAGCAAGACTCTGTCTCAAAAAAAAAAAAAAAAAGGAAAGAAAGAAAGTAGCTAACTTTAGCTACCTACCTCTTTGCCAAAGGTAGGGTACTCCAGGGAGCTTCCTTTCTTATTCCTGATTTCTCCCAGTTCAACGTCCTCAGGCTAGAAGCTACATACATAATAACCACCGACATGTATGCAGACCTTTACTGATAGCCAAGTGCTTTTATAGATGTAATCCATTTTGCATCCCTAAGATAGCCCCTCATCATGCCCATTTCACAGATAAGAACCCCCTGGGTCACATCAATAGGGAGTGGGAGACCCAGGATTTGAACCTCTCCTGCCTGATTCTGGGGCTTGGGATCGCCCCTCCCCCAGTCCAAAGAGGGGTTTCCTGCCCTCCAAGTCTTGATCTCCTCCTGCCTGACTTCACAGCACTCCCCAATGTAATGTCAGCTCCGTGTGACGGCCTATCTACCACATCCACAATGGTTTAATTTCTGCCGTTTATGTGAAAAGAAATTACTCACTAAAATTTAATTTGGTAAATTTCAGTCTTTGTAAGCAGTGAATTCAATGACGACACAGTTCAGCAAGTCAGCAGTTACTCAGGCAATTTCCGAGCCACCAGCCCCCAACCCTAATAACAAAGAAGGCCCAGCCTCTCAGCCTGTTTTAAATTCACATTCCTTCATTATTATGTCAAGGGAAGTCATTATGGGACTGAAGAAAATGCTTCCTGTCTAGAAAAGTAAAACGCAGTCTTGTGCGGCGGATTAGCGTGTTCTGTCGGGTATTAAATGGGGAACTCTCGAGGAGCATGATTTCTGAATTACGTGGTTTGATGATTATTTAACCACGTTGGCTGGTGATAACTATTTATCTAGTCCAGAGCAACGCAGTTCAATAGGCCTGTCCTTACGTCCCCCTTGGAGGCTGCTGCCAGGAACCTGGCTCCCAGAATTTTCTGGGGAAGGGCAGTGAGGGGGTGGGGAGGTGACGGGAGATGAAGGCAAGTTTCTCAGGTTGGCACTGATGCCTGGAATCTGCACATATTTGCCTACTTTGACTGGACGCTGGTAGATTTCCTGCAACTGATACGCGTGTGTGTGTGTGTGTGTGTGTGTGTGTGTGTGTAAAAGACAGAGAGAGACAGAGAGAGAGATTGAGAGATTCAAGCTAGGCATGTTAATCAGGTTGTTTAAGCCAATGGGGCTATGGGCTTTCAAGGCAGGAACAATATTCTGTTTACCTTTGCACCTCCAGTGCCGAGCACAGTGCCTGACACTTATGTATAACCATGATTTTGAGGCTGATTGTCAAAAACACGAGTTAGGTTGCAGACTCCAATGATGGTAGATGCAGCTGGCCCCCAGGATGGGAGCTTCACCTTGACTTCTGTCTGTTAAATTTACTGCTGCATCCTCAGCTCCAAGGCCAGTGCCTGGCAAAGAGATAGTGCTCAGTAAATACTTGCTGCATTTTGTCTGAATTTGCATCGAGGTGTGGAAGGTAAGAAGAGTTGCTAGGACGAAAGAAACCGGGGCATCTTTTGGGAAAGGGGCCAGGATAGAGGAGCAGATGGGGGCTGAAATACAGGGTGGAAAAGTTGTTTTGTCTGAAGAAGAGCAGGCTCGGGGTCAGGACCATGCCTTTCCACCTCTGAATGCCACCCTGGAGCAGGACTGGCCCCATCCTGGGTGGCCTGCAGGGAGAGGAGGCTGTTGCTGGTAGGCACATTTTGAGGTGGGGGGAAAGGAAAAAGTTTGTAAGAGAGCTGTCCAGAGAAGGCATGACTTTCCCTTAAGAGTTAGCGAGTCTCCAGGTGTCAGGAGAGGCTTGACTTTGGGAGAATGTTGGAGTGGAAAGTGTAACAGAGGGATGTCTGGTCTTTTGGCTTCCCTGGGTCACACTGTAAGAAGAATCATTTTGGGCTGCACATGTCGTATATTAACACTGACGATAGCTGATGAGCTAAAAAAAATCACACAAAAAAGAAATCACAAAAAAAATCTCATAATGGGCCTGATGCAGTGGCTCATGCCTGTAATCTCAGCACTTTGGGAGGCCAAGGTGGGCGGATCACGAGGTCAGGAGTTTGAGACCAGCCTGGCCAACATGATGAAACGGCATCTCTGTATTTTGTAAAAATACAAAAAATTAGCTGGGCATGGTGGCGGGCGCCTGTAATCCCAGCTACTTGGGAGGCTGAGGCAGGAGAATCGCTTGAACCCGGGAGGCGGAGGTTGCAGTGAGCTGAGATCACAGCACTGCACTCCAGCCTGGGCAACAGTGTGAGACTCTGTCTCAAAAAAAAAAAAATCTCATGATGTTTTAAGAGACTTAACAAATGTGTGTTGGGTCACATTCAAAGCCATCTGGACTGCAGGCCTCAGGTTGGGCAAGCTTAATATAGCATAAGATAGAAGGTAGAAGTAGGGGACCTTTGAGGTCCCATGAGTGTCTGCAACTTATAGTCCATATTTGATTGATTTGCTTCTGCTGAATCAGAGAAAGATGAATCTATTCCCCTGGATTAAGGAGGGATGTTGAATTGGACCTTGAAGACACTGAGATGGAGGTAACTGTGGTCAGAAGAGTTGCTATGGATGGGACCATGTGTGAATAATCCCATGTTGTATGGCTTGGTAGAGTAACATGTGCCATAGGCACACGACAGATGAGGGAGAGGAGATCAGAGCTACTGCAGTCTGAAGACCCCTGGAGAAGGGCAGGAGGCCAGAGAAATCAGGGAGACCTCCCTGAAAGAGGTCAGGTGGACATATTGGAGTGCTCAGGAAGCCCTGGGGAGGTGAGACTGAAGGAATTGTGAGTAACTAGCCAAAGTTGTGGAATGAGGGATCCGGCTCTTACTAGCAGAGAGTGGTTAAAGACAGACCAGGGACCAGGCACGGTGGCTCACACCTATATTCCCAGCACTTTGGGAGGCCGAGGCAGGTGGATCATGAGGTCAGGAGTTCGAGACTAGCTTGGCCAAGATGGCAAAACGCCGTCTCTACTAAAAATACAAAAATTATCTGGGCGTGGTGGCAGGTGCCTGTAATCCCAGCTACTCAGGAGGCTGAGGCAGGAGAATTGCTTGAACCCGGGAGGCGGAGGTTGCAGTGAGCCGAGATCACGCCGCTGCACTCCAGCCTGGGTGACATAGCAAGACTCCATCTCAAAAAAAAAAAACAGGAGACAATGAAGCCGCAGGTGAGCCAGGTAGTTACAAAAGAATGCGATCTCTCAGCAAGGGGAAGACCCAAGGCTGGGGAGAAAGTAGCACCTGGCTGGCTTCTTGAGGAAGCGTTGCCAGCAAGGAGCTCTCACATCTTAGCAGCGACCAAGGTAGTAGGCCATGAACTGTAATAGAGGCAGAGGGTTTGTTAAGATTTTAGAAGCAGACAGTCCTGGTTTGAAGTCCTGACTCGACTATGTTCCGAATGTGTGATCTTGGACAAATGGCTTAACCTCTGAGCCTTAGTTTCCTCATCTGTAAAATAAGTCTTAAAAAAAATCTCTCCAACCCTCCAAGAGCTGGTGTGAAGATTAGATGGGGTCATGGATGTCAGCATGATATGTAAACTCTGAAGTGCCCTGTGCTTATGGAGGTGGCCACTAATGGCATAGTATGGCAGAATCTCTGAATTAGAGAGTGACGGGAACTGCCTGGGGCTCCGAGTCAGGTCTTGAACTTACCATCAAGCTGGAGAAAACTTCCTTCTTCAATTTAGGGGTTGAACTGATAGGCCTGGCAGTGGTCCCACCTTTGAGCGGCTGTCCTGGAAACAAATACATGCGAGGATGTCGGCTCTTCTTCCATTCTGCAAGTCAGTGTCAGGTCAGTGTTGGGAAGTGGTGACCTGCAGCTGTCCACCTCCAGCTGCCTGCAGAAGGCAGACTGATCAGAAAGTTCTTCCGTGGCATTAGAATGGAGAGACTTAGGCATGCTAAATGCTGAAGGGAAGAACCATGGAGAGGAGGGGGTGGTGACTTGCAGCTGGCTGACAACCCCTCCCTGATGGACGCCATGAAGCCGGTGTGTCCATGACTCCCGTGACCTTGTTCCCAGCCTCCCTTACCACGTCACAGTGAAGTCATTTTTCAAAGCTAACACTTGTAGAGGCTCCTCCAGGAGGCAGTTGCTGATGACTTTGAATTCAACGTGTGGATTTGGATCTTCAGCCCTGACCCCTTCTCTAAACCCCAATTCGATATATCTAACCTGCCTACTTGATATCATCATGTAGATAAGGGTCTCAAAGTATGACCCAAACAGGGTTCCCAGAAACCTGCTTCCCCAAATTTGTTCCTCTTTGAGTCCTCTCCTGCCACTGCCGTCCACCCAACTCTTCAGGCCAAGACCCCCCCCATGTCATCCGTGACTGCTCTCCTTCCTTTATCCCTCCATCGACCCCAGAAGGCCCTGCCAGCCCTTCCAAATATATCCCCAGTCTGCCTTCTTTTCTCCAGGTCCCATGTTGCCACTCTGTCCATACCAACATCCTCTCTCAGCTGGTGATGCAGCAGCCTCTTACTGAGCAACCTGCTTCCTCTCTTGGCTTTTCAAATCCATTCCCTGCAAAGTAGCCAGAAGGATCTTTTCAAAACATAAGTCATGTTCATCTTCTTAAAGCCCTTATTCTCAAGGCACATAAAATAAAAACAAAACTGAGTGGAAGCCACACTGCATGGGGGTCGAGGTGTGAATAGGATTTTAGGACAGGACAATGAAGAATCTAGAAACGCTTGCAAGAGACATGGCTGGGAAAGGAAAGACAGGGAGAGAGAGTCAGAGCTGCAAGCAGCAGACTGATCAGAAAGTGCTTCCGTGGTGTTAGAATGGAGAGGCTTAGGCATGCTAGACGCTGAAGGGAAGGACAGTGGAGGGGAGGGGTGGTGATTCGCTTGGTAACAGACGACTCCTGTTTTTGGGAGGAGAGACTTGAAGCTAATTCATATTGTTCACAGTGGCATTTCTTCCCCCAGATAAGCTTGTTTTTGTCAGTTCTCTTTAAACAATAAATAAAATAAAGGTGGGAATTGAACAATGAGAACACTTGGACACAGGGTGGGGAACATCACACACCGGGGCCTGTTGTGGGGTGGGGGGAGGGGGGAGGGGGGAGGGATAGCATTAGGAGATATTTCTAATGTAAATGACAAGTTAGTGGGTGCAGCACACCAACATGGCACATGTATACATATGTAACAAACCTGCACGTTGTGCACATGTACCCTAGAACGTAAAGTATCATAATAAAAAAAAGAAAATAAATAAAATAAGAGCCTCCTTACTAAGGCCCACAAGACCCTCCAAGATCTGGCCCCTGCCCAGTCTCCAGCCCCAGCCTGTGCTATCTCCCACCGCCTACTGGCCACCAAGTTGTGTGCTTTAGCCTGCATAAGAATTATCCAGAGAGTTTGTTGAAGCACGAATTCCTATTCTTCCTGCTCCTCACCTTCCCCCTCCTTTGCCTTCTCCTATGCCCTTCCTTCCTGACATTCAGTCCTAAAGCCGTTAGGTGTAGCACGGGAAGAGAAGCCTCTGCAGTGAAGGGAGGGCAGCCATCATGGCCCAGAGCTGAGGCCAGGACAGTGATGGTACTGGGAGGCTCCCCAGCAAAGGGTGTCAGGGCATCAACAGGGTGAGGAGGTCATCTATGTGGTGGGAGGAAGACGGTGTGGAATATCAGCACCTACGCAGGGGGAGGAGGGTGCCACTGCAGAGGCATCCTGGCAGAGGTGACAGCACCAGACTGGCTGAGGACATTCCTACGAGGGGTGAGTGGCCTGATGCATGTCAGATCCTGAGCCCCGTGATGGGGGCAGCCCTGTTTGGGGAGCCCAAGCCCAAGTGAGAGAGATGGTCATCCCTGCAGATGAGTGACTGGTGGGGGTGTCAGAGCTCAGGTAGGGAAACAGCAGCATCCACACAGGGTCAGAGCCCAAGCAGGAAAAGAGAGTCCTGTGTGGGGAAGAAGGAGGCAGTGAGATGGAAGTTCGATCACACTGAGGAGGATTGTTAAGTAAACACTAAGGGTAACAGAAGCCAGGTGTTGTGGGTGGAATTGCATCCTTCTGAAAATTTACATGTTAAAATTCTAAACCCCAGTACCTCAAAATGTGAGCTTACTTGGAAATAGGGTCATTGAAGATGCTTTTTTTTTTTTTTTTTTTTTTGAGAGGGAGTCTCACTCTGTTGCCAGGCTAGAGTGCAGTGGCGCGATCTCAGCTCATCGTAACCTCTGCCTCCCAGGTTCACGCAATTCTCCTGCCTCAGCTTCCCGAGTAGCTGGGACTACAGGTGTGCACCACCACTCCCAGCTAATTTTTTGTATTTTTAGTAGAGACGGGGGTTTCACCATATTGGCCAGGATGGTCTCAATCTCTTGACCTCGTGATCCACCCACCTTGGCGTCCCAAAGTGCTAGGATTACAGGCCCTTCCTCATGATTAGATCCTGTTTATGGATCATTGGCAGAAATAGCTCTGAAATGAGCCACCGCACCCAGCCTGAAGATGCAATTATTAATAGTTAAGGTGAGGTTATACCACAGTGGAGTGGACCTCTAATCCGATATGACTGATATCCTTATTAAAAGGGCAAAGTTGGACACAGAGACACACACACAGTGAAGTGTCCAGGTGAAAATGAAGACAGAGATTGCAATGATGTGTCTATAAGCCAAGAAATGGCAAAAATTGCCAGCAGTCACCAGAAGCTAGGGAAGAGGCATGGAGTAGATTCTCTCTCATGTCAAGAGAAGGGACCAACCCTGCCAATAGCCTGATCTTGGACACCTTGCCTCCATCCAGAACTATGAGGCAATAAATTTGATTTCTGTTATTTAAGCTACCCAGTTTGTGGCACTGTTTTATTTTACAATAGCCCTAGGAAACTAACACACCAGAATTGTTATTATTAAGGAAGGGAGTTATGAACATCAAAAGGGAGAAGAAGACTGGAATGAACCTTGTGATGTTGAATTTGAATTGGATGTATTGAGGTAAACTCATGTTTTTTAATGTTTAGAGATAGATATAGAAATAGGCATAAATGCCATGTGTGTATGTCTACTACACATGTTTCTTAGCTCTGCTCTGAGAAAGCCTGGATGCAACAACGGTCCCATAGCAATGAACATGTCCAGCACCTAGATCTAAATGGCATTTTCCACTAACAAGAAAAAGGGTTTCTTGGAGAAATGGCGGATTCCAAGACTGGGAAACTACACGAGGAAGGTGGAAGGTCTTATTGTGCCAAAAAGCAAGGAAGTGCTCCAAGAATGGTGGGTACATGTCACGGGGCACAAAGGGCAGCTTGAAGGAGCTCCCATTGGTGGACCATGAGACAATTCAAGTACCAAATTAGACAATGATAGTGGTGGACTATGACCCATTGAATAGGATTGGAAACCATGGGCCCATGAAGACAGAAATAAATAAGCAAATAAACTGAAAATGTAGTGAGAAATATGATAATCATGTAATTTCAAAGTGCCTCTGCAAAACACGTATTAATTACAAAGAAGAAAAGAGTAACTTTATAGTGAAGAAGTCTGGCAGACAGCAACTTAATTAAGTGATCAGCGTGAGCATCTCCAGTAATGGGGCAAATTAAAATCACGTGTCCCTGGATAGGACGTCAGGGGAAGAATTCAGCGTCATTTCTGAGCTATTTCTGCCAATGATCCATAAACGGGATCTAATCATGAGGAAGCGTCAGACAGACCCAAAATAACTGTCCTGTAATCTGCAGACGTGTCAAGGTCTTTAGAGTCAAGGAAAAACTGAGGAACTTCTTCAGATGAAAAGAGACTAATGGGACATGAGAACTAAATGCAACATGATTCTGTAGTGGATCTTGCTGCTATAAAACACATTATAGGAATAACTGGAGAAAGTGGAATGGGCCCTGAGGATTAGATTCATCCATGTGTCATTGTTAATCTCCTGATTTTGATGCTTGCATTGTGATTGTGTAAGAGAAGGCCCTTATTTATAGAAAATATTCACTGAAGTATTAGACAGTAATGGGGCATCCAGTCAGCACTTTGCTCTCCAATGCTTCAAGAAAACGGAAGTTTTTTGTACTGTACTTTCAACTTTTCTGTGTGATATTTGAAAAAAAAAAAAAGTGTGATCATTGCACAAAAAGCATCCTCCTGGACTCTGTCTCCGGAGGTTCTGATTTAATGGGTGTAAGTTGGGACCAGGACGGCTGGGAGTGGTGGCTCATGCCTGTAATCCCAACACTTTGGGAGGCCAAGGCGGGAGGATCACCTGAGGTCAGGAGTTCGAGACCAGCCTGGCCAACATGGTGAAACACTGTCTCTACTAAAAATATAAAAATTAGCCAATCGTGGTGGCAGATGTCTGTAATCCCAGCTGTTTGGGAGGTTGAGGCAGGAGAATTGCTTGAACCCAGAAGGCAGAGGTTGCTGTAAGCCAAGATCACGCCACTGCATTCCAGCCTGGGCAACAGAGCAAGACTCCGTCTCAAAAAAAAGAAAGAAAGAAAAAAAAAAAGATGGGACCAGGACATTTGCCTGTGTAACCACTCCCCTAAGAGATGTCAATGCTGCTGGTCCGTAGACCAGGCCATGAGTCCTAAGTGTCTATACACTGACCTCACTGTTCCTGGACTCACCAATTCATCATCAGTGCAGGTCCTTTGCTCTGTGCCTTCTACCTGGAAAGCTGTTCTCTCAGATCTTTTAGAATTGGCTCTTGTGTGCCATTCAGATCTCAACTCCATGCCACGTTCTCAGAGGGGCCATTCCTGACCCACCCACCCCCAGCTATCCACAGCTGTTCTACCACGACTCCCGGCTTCCTTTCATCTGTGATCTCTGTTAGTTTTCTATGGCTGCTGGAACAAAAGAGCACAAGCCTAGTGGCTCAATATAACCCAAATTTATTATCTCACAGTTCTGACACGTTGAAAGTCTGACATGTGTCCCACTGGGCTAAAACGGAAGCCTTGGGAAGGCTGTGGTGATCCTTCTGGAGGCTCTAGGGGAAATCAGTTTCCAGATTCTAAAGGTTGGCTGCATTCCTTGGCTTGTGGCCCCTTCCTCCATCTTCAAAGGCAGCAGCAATGCATCTCTGTGCCTTTTTTCTGCAGTCACATCTTCCTCTGATGAACTCTTCTACTTCCTTTTACTTTTAAGTATCCTTGTGAGTATACTGGGGTCACCCTGATAATACAAGATAATCTCCCCGTCTCAAAATCCTTAACAGAATCACATCTGCAAAATCTCTTTCGCCGTATAAGGTAACATATTCACAGGGTCTGGGGACCAGGACATATCTTTGGTGGTGGTCGTGGCGGGAAGGGCATTATTCATTCTACTACATTTTCCTTGAACCAACCTTTCAGGATGGAAGAAAACTTTGAGGTTGTCTGCCCCCAATGTCTTTCTCCTAGCTCTGAAATGAGCTGTTGGTGGAAGGGCAAGCCACTTCACACCCTCTTTGCCTGTTTTCTCATCTCTGCAATGGATATGGCAGCATGTACCCTTTAGTGTCTTTGGGATGAATGAATGAAGCCTCTGATGCAAACCATGTCGTAAGGACTCCCACACAGGAAAGGCATATTACATGTTCACACTTTCCCCTTTTGTCCTTGCCCCATCAGGAGACTGAGGCCCCAGGCAGGGCTGAGCCTGGCCTCTTCCACAAACAGACCTCTCTAACCCCTTGCTGATTTTCTTCTTCCCCTCTTCCCGTGGTTTAAATGGCAGTGAGCTTCTATCCTCAGCTTTCATAAGACTCTTTGACCTAAAGACAATATGATAGAGTCAGTAGCAAAGCTCAGCTCTCCCTCCCACACCTTGCCCACCCCTACTTCCTGATACAACATAGAGACACACATTCATTGTCTTCCCAGGTCTTCCCACTCAGGTGACCTGATCTGAATGATGTGAACTTTCCTGTAGACAGCGGGAAAGAAGCATATGGAGGAAACTCCTTTCTGGAGCTCCAGGAAAGCACTGATGGATGTGAGAAGAAGACCTATGAATAAATCACTCACCACCCCTACTGCCACTATCATGACTATTACTGTTTTTCTCTCATATGTTATCCTAAGGGCCTTGTCTATATCCCAGGATTTGAGGAAAAATCAAGTATTTGATATGAGAGTGCTTTGCACTGCTGGGAGCCTGGATATGTGTCTGACATCACCATTATTAATAGATCAAGCCCAGCACCAGGTGCCATTCTATGCAGCAGCACTGCTGACCTGGTCACTTGGGACCATACCAGAGCAGCTCAGGCCTCTACCAAACCCTTAGGAATCTGGGTTTTCTTCCTGTTTTCTTGCATGGGAATCCCTGAAAACTGCTTACTTGCCCCCATCCTACCAATCAAGCCCATGAATTTATTCAAAGACACTCTACAAGCCAAGTGTAATTCTAGGTTCTGGACCTTTAACAGTAGGAAATATAAACAGACTTTCCCTACATGTGGCTCACAGTCTAGCCCACCTTAGAGCTTACTTTTAGAATGAGGAGTGGGGTAGGGATGTGGGTAGCAACTTTAGCCAGAGACGGTTGAGTCCTCTAAATCTATTCTTCTCTATCCTGTAGTTTTTAACTCATTTGGAGGAGTCATGAGCCTCTTAGAGCATCTAAAGAAAGTTATGGTCTTGCTTACTTGAAACATGATCATAAACACCCACCTCTACACACACACACACACACACACACTCACACACACACCCCTACACACACACACACACCACTACACACACACACACACCCCTACACACACACACACACACCCCTACACACACACACACACACACACACACACACACACACCATTTTGTAATATTTTTCTTTTTTTTAACTTTTATTTTCAGTTCAGGAGGTATACGTACAGTTTTTTTGTTTTGTTTTGTTTTGTTTTTGTTTTGTTTTGAGACAGAGTCTCACTCTGTCCCCCAGGCTGGAGTGCAGTGGTGCGATCTCGGCTCACTGCAACCTCCGCCTCCCAGGTTCAAGCGATTCTCCTGCCTCAGCCTCCTAAGTAGCTGGGATTACAGCTGCATGCCACCATGCCTGGCTAATTTTTGTATTTTTAGCAGAGACGGGATTTCACCATGTTGGCCAGGCTGATCTCGAACTCCTGATATCGTGATCTGCCTGCCTCGGCCTCCCATGTACAGTTTTATTACATGGGTAAATTGCAAGTCACTGGAGTTTGGTATGCAAATGATTTCATCACCAAAATAGATAGCAAGTATAGTGCCCGATAGGTAGCTTTTTAATCCTCACCCGCCTCCCACCCTCTACCCTCAAGTAGGCTCCAGTGTCTATTGTTCCCCTCTTCGTGTCCCTATGTACTCAATGTTTAGCTCCCACTTATAAGTGAAAACATGTGGTATTTGGTTTTCTGTTTCTATGCTTATTTGCTTAGGATAATGGACTGCAGCTGAGTCCACATTGCTGCAAAGGACATGATTTCATTCTTTTTTATGGCTGCATGGTATTCTATGGTGTATATGTACCACATTTTCTTCATCCAGTCCACCATTGATGGACATCTATGTTGAGTCCACATCTTTGCTACTGTGAATACTGCTGCAATGAACATACAATTACATGCATATTTTGGTAGAATGATTTATATTTCTCTGGGAATACACCCAGTAATAAGATTGCTAGGTTGAATGGTAGTTCTGTTTTTAGCTCTTTGTTCTTTTTGCTTAATATTTACAAAGAATTTCTGAGAATCCATGACCCATGGAAGGAAGCCCTCTTGTGGATCTCAGGTTAGAACCCATTTCTTTCCACCAGTCCTGTCTAATCCAAGCAAACTTCTACTCCTCTCCAACAAGTCTTACTTTTTTTTTTTTTGACAGAGTCTCACTCTGTCGCCAAGCTGGAGTGCAGTGGCACGATCTTGGCTCACTGCAACCTCTGCCTCCCAGGCTCAAGTGATTCTCTTGCCTCAGCCTCCCGAGTAGCTGGACTACAGGCATGAGTCACCACACCCAGCTAATTCTTGTATTTTTAGTAGAGACGGGGTTTCACTATGTTGGCCAGGATTGTCTCAATTTCTTGACCTTGTGATCTGCCCACCTCGGCCTCCAAAGTGCTGGGATTACAGGTGTGAACCACTGTGCCTGGCCACTTTCTTAAAGGCCAGAGAACAGATGAATTAAAAAGTTGAGAGCTTGCTGAATAATGATTCAGTTACATACTCAGGCCTGTGGATGCTCATAGGAGAGAAGGAACAGGACAGAGTCTAACTCAGGCAGAAGAAAGGGAACAAATACTTCTTTAGAATTGCCAAAAATGGAAGGTGTGTGAAGATAAGGGTGTTGGAGATAGTTATTATTTTTACCTTATGTCAAAAAATGTTCAAATGAATTGTATCCTCAACAAACTGAGAATTTTCCATTGTACATCCTGACTTTTTGACTGTAATGAGCAGTTTTCTTTTGAGAGGCCTTAGCTTCAAGCTGAGACCAAGGATTCTAGTCTCTGAGCTGGTTCATATAACCAATAAAGTAATTAAATCACATCCATGAAAGAGAACATTTTCATCATAGGATACAGTAGGGGTTCAAAGTTTGACTCTTCTGTGCTTCAGAAAGAATGAATCAGGAAATTCAGAAATGAATTCAGGAAAAATGTCTGCTAACTCTACCCAATTTTGAATCACAGCATTAATTTCTTAAGAGCATCTTCTGCACTCATCCAAGAATAAATGAACATACACACACTCTTCGTTATAACCAGAGTCTGAGCATCAACTCTTCAGCCACTTCCACTTCCTACTCCTTAGCGCTTTGAGATCTTAGGGTGCAGCTCAAAATCAGAGAATGAGCTTTGCCTCAGATCCTGTGCAAGTGTGCTAGCCGCTGGCCGTGGTGCTGAAACAAAGCCTGTCCTTCAGGGCTGCAAGTCAGCTCTGTCTACTTTCTCATTTCTGAATGTTGTCTCCAGCACAGGATTACATCAGGTTGCACACAGTGTCTTATTTCCTGAAAGCCTCTATTTCCCAGATGTTTTACTTGGATCTCTGATTTACCCCGTCCTCTTCTAACTCTCCCCTTTCCAGCCACTCTCCAACAATAATCGCATGCCCCAGCCACATGGCCTGACTTGTAATTTCCCCCACATCTCAATCCTCTCCATAGTTCTGGGCCTTCATGCATGCTATTTTTTGAAATCACACACACACACACACACACACACACACACACGCACACACACACACACTTTCACTTGTCATAGCCCTTACTGATTACAAATTCTTTGAGACTCGCCAAAGTGTCACTTCCTTTAGGAAGCCCTTCCTTGATTACCCGTAAGTTGAGTTTATTTTACCTTGAAAATTGTTACCCTCTGCTACCTCAAATGAAATAAGTCAGCCCCAACTCTATATCCCCTGTGTTGCTCTCTACCACTGCATTCAACTCTCAATTATAATTTTCTTTTACATCTGCATTTTTTACTAGACTCTGCATTCCTAGAAGTGGCACAAAAGAGAAGGCACATGGAGATTAGGTTGATATCAGCTAAAATAAGTCATAAATGCCAGAGTAAGAAGTCTAGGATTTATCCTAGCACCTACACACAAACCGTGCAAAGCATAGGGGCAAGGAAGCCACTGCAATTTATAAAGACTCCACCTTCTCAGTACCTGACCCATTGTTCCAGCAATCAATGATTTAAAGTCTCTTTGAGCTCTTCCTGCCTTATGAAAATAAGAAAAAAAGAATGATATGAGGAGACTGGAGACCTTCTACACTACAATTATCCTTTTAACAGTGATTTTCTCAGAAGTGTTCCCTTGGCTGTGGCATGATTCATCTTTCTGCAAACATAATCTAGTATTTCATCAAAGCAAAGATGGAGTAACAAGGGCCATGTACACTTCCTGGACAACAGGAATGTGCTTAGGGTATTGAATATACCCCATTTAGATTTGGGAAAGATAGCATACAAATTAGAGAAAAGGGCCGGATGCAGTGGCTCATGCCTATAATCCCAGAGCTTTGGGAGGCCAAAGCAGGAGGATCACAAGGTCAGGAGTTCAAGACCAGCCTAACCAACATGATGAAACCCTGTCTCTACTAAAAATACAAAAATTAGCCAGGGATGGTGGCGTGTACCTGTAATCCCAGCTACTTGGGAGGCTGAGGCAGGAGAATCGCTTGAACCCGGGAGGCAGAGGTTGCAGTGAGCTGAGATCATGCCACTGCACTCCAGCCTGGGCAACAGAGCAAGACTCTGTCTCAAAAAAAAAAAAGGGAAAAGAAAGAAAAAAAGAAATTAGAGAAAAGATAGCCTAATTGGCTAGAGAATATTGTCTCCAAGAGGTTATCAACTTCTGGAACTAAAACTAAAGTGTTTCTGCCTCAAGCAATCTGAAAGATGTATTGTCTGTGCGGTGGGGTTACCCAATCCTGGCCCCAGCTGTAGGTGCTGGCCTAAAGACAAAGAAGGGAATGAAGAGAAAAAATTAAGAGTTGTACCAGTCATCCGCTCCAACCACTCTTCTCATATTCACAGTCCCCAGACCCACTGCCAGTTCTCATCATGAGAAGTCAGCTCCAGATGAAGACAGCCTCCTTGCCCTGCATCATCCAGTGAATGAGGCTGCCTGGACCTGGCTGAGACCACCCCTGTCCACTAGTCACCCCAAGACCTCACATCTATGAAGATTGAGCATACAGTGGGCCCCATGTCAGGATCAGGTGTGAGGGGAAAGGTAGGAAACAAAATCCCAGGCCCACCCTTGGGGAATTAAGAATAGAAATAAAGGTGAAGTTCTTACTATCAGTTTAGAAGACCTCATTTTCTTCTTCTTCTTCTTTTTTTGAGACAGAGTTTTGCTCTTGTTGTCCAGGCTGGAGTGCAATGGTGCGATCTCGGCTCACTACAGGTTCAAGTGATTGTCCGGCCTCAGCCTCCTGAGTAGCTGGGTTTACAGGCATGTGCCACCATGACCAGCTAATTTTTGTATTTTTAGTAGAGACAGGGTTTCACCATGTTGGCCAGGCTGGTCTCGAACTCCTGACCTCAGGTGATCCACCTGCCTCAGCCTCCCAAAGTGCTGGGATTGCAGGCATGAGCTGTTGAGTCTGACCTAGATCTCTTCTTAGGAAGAAGAGGAAAGAGAAGCAAAAGACAGAATTTTTGCCCTTAGGGGACTCATAATCTAGGCAGTGAGAAGGATTCACAGTGAGAAGGATTCACATTAGAGGACCATACCAACCAATGCAATGAAGTGGAAGAACAAGCCACTTGTGTGAAGTACAGTATCCAGTTCCCTCCTTGGGCTTTCTTTACCCAGAGAGAAAGCTCAGCATCTCCCTGAGAATCTTTATATCAGAAACCGATTTTCCCTTTTCTCTGTGTTCCTACAGACCTGTTTTGAAGCTGTTCTCATGGCCTCATTTGATTATGAGTCAGTCTTTTTTATTAGACAGTGAATCCCTTGAAGTTGTTACTGTGTTAAGCCCCATGCCTGGCACTTGGTAGGTGCTTTGTAGTGAACGTTAAGACCAGAATATTGCATGATGTTTGATCCCTGGGTCAGACCCATTCAGTGGCTATAGCAAACGTGCTCCAATCCTTTTACTCTGGCTCAGGCTGACACCCAAGTTCACTTCGTGTGGTTACCTATGGAGATGCCTATATATCAGTCAGAGAGCTGAGGTCCCAAAGAATATCAGTGGTATTATTCATGACTCAACAAAGCCTGTTCCCTTTCAAGAAGGACATTCCTGTCTCAGATAATGGAATTCCTCTGCTGCAGTGAGATCTATTTGACGGGGAAGTCATCACCACTTGGACATCCTTTTGTTGAAAGTGCACTGAGCACGTGTGCTCTGCAAGTTGCCATGGGGGGTATG
This sequence comes from Homo sapiens, assembly GCF_000001405.40. Lineage (NCBI taxonomy): Eukaryota > Metazoa > Chordata > Mammalia > Primates > Hominidae > Homo > Homo sapiens. The sequence continues at coordinate 6,272,713 of NC_000017.11, forward strand.
GAAAAGCAGGAGACAGAACCTCTGTCCTCATGAGGCTCGCTTTTCAGCAATGGAGGGAAGACATGTGTCAATTGTAGGAGATTGATCAGAGTGGTGGGAGAAATTACAGGGAAAGGAGCAGGTCTTCTGAAAGGTTGGAAGGCTCCGCATAGCTCTGGGGGAGAATAGCTGAAGGCAGCTGTTCTATAACCCTGAGTATGTGCAAGGGACTGAGGGGGAAGCTATCTTGATCAAGCTTGTTTACTTATATTGACCAGGAACTGACCTTTGATCATCCTTGCGCATGAGGTTCCCTGAAAGGGGAACAATAAATGTTAATTACCTGCAGGTTGTGTTGCCTCCAGGTTTTCCGCATTGTGCATGCACTGAATAAAAGCAAGCAGCTCTAGCTTCTCAGGGCTGCTCTCTGGCCACTAGAGCCAGGCAGTCACCTAGCTGCTCTTACACTGCATACCTGTGTCTGAGTAATTTCACCTGTCAGCCAAGGTCTGAGGCACAGACCCGGCAGTGAATGTCATGATACAAGGAAAAGGAGGCAAAGGCCCAGAAAGTAGATGTAAAGCACTGGGAACCACAATGAAGGGGGTGATAGCATCGAGAGCTTGCTTAAGAATGGGACCTTTCACTCTGGCTCTGTCATGGTTTTGTTGACAAGAGGAGATGGGGAACTGTTTTGCCTGGGAACAATGTAAGTTCTGCAAGGGTGTCACTAATCTGTGTTTTCTGGAGTACCTAGCACATTGCTTGAGCCATATGTTTGAGATGTGGATTCTTTACTCCCAAACAGCTCCAGTACCATAGTCAGTTTACTTTCCAAATGTCCATTTATGTGACATCAACAGTAGGAATGGCTAGGAAGCAGGAGATGGAGGTGATAGGCCCGGATACTCTCTTGCTGTGTGACCTTAGATGACTTGGATTTCCTGTCTGAACCTCAACATTCTCACTTGTAAAGCACATGGAGTCATTGAGTTGTCATGCAAACCAAAGGAGATGACAGAGACAAGAGTGCTGGAAGTTAGGTGGCCAGATCTGCTCACCCACTGTCTGCCATGAGGTCAAGGTCAGGCTTGGTGGGAGGTTCCTTCCACCCTGGGCACCAAAGCCCAAGATTGACATCTGGAGCCTCAGTACATCATCATGGGCTCTGCCAAGGAGAAGAATGTTCATTGGTTCCAGGATTGAGTGGACCCCAACAGCATCTCCCTCAAGGAGCACAGAGTCTTTCATCTAAGAAGGAAAGAACCACAGCAGATTTGCCTGGGACAGTGAGTCAGTGGTAGTTGTTACATGCCAAGGAAGGCAGTTGTTTGTTGACTTTTGTTATCTACTTTTCATTCCAAGAAACAGAAACTGGATATGCTCAGTAGGAAGATATTTTTAAATATTCAGATTGAACAGTGGCATTTGAATGGAAACTTTTTCCTGGAGCCTTTACCAATTCTGTTTTGTGCCAAAAGATACACTCGATTTTTTTCTTGTTAGCTATTTTTATTCTTTAACTTACTGATCAATTTCGATACCCAAAAGTATGTGAGACAGTCCTTTGGGCACCAAGAAAACCAGAGTGTCCACTTGCAGACCTACAGCCCAAGATCTTCATCAACACTGTCATCATCGTCATCGCTGTCATCATCATCGCTGTCATCATCATCACCATCGCTGTCAACATCATCATCATCATCACTGTCATCATCATCACCATCACTGTCATCATCATCATCACCATCACTGTCATCATCATCACTGTCATCATCATCATCATCATCACTGTCATCATCATCATCATCATCACTGTCATCATCATTGTCATCGCTGTCATCATCATCACTGTCATCATCATCATCATTCTCATCATCATCATCATCACTGCTGTCATCATCATCATCATCACTGCTGTCATCATCACCATCAGAACTCACCACCTACTACGGACTTCCTCCAGGCCAGGCATTGTGTCAAGTGCTTTGTATACATAATATTAATATCTCTAATTCCTACAAAATCCCTATAAGGTGAAGATTAGCTTCTCCGTTTTTCAGATGAGCCTTATGAGGCTTGGGATATCGATTGACTTGCTCAGGGCTGCACAGCTTGTAAGTCGTAACACTTGGATTTGAACCATTGCCTTTCCATGTCATGTGCATTGAAGACGATGTTGACCTGCTTCGCAGTGGTCCTACCTGTTTTGGGGTGCGCTATCATTCCTCCCCACCCCACCTTCTGGCTTCTTGTAATCACAGCCTTCGATTTTTATCTGATGGTCCACCATCCCCTAGATCTCAGCCCTGTGATTGCCTCAGCTCCAGAAGGGATGCAGGACTGAGGTATGCCCCACTGGAGAGTTCAGTTGAGGCTTCGGGGAAGTAAAAAAAAAATGTTGGCTGGGCACAGTGGCCCACGCCTGTAATCCCAGCACTTTGGGAGGCAGATGGATCATGGGTTAGGAGTTCCAGAGCAGCCTGGCCAACATTGTGAAACCCTGTCTCTATTAAAAATACAAAAATTAGCCGGGCATAGTGGCATGCACCTGTAGTCCCAGCTACTCCAGAGGCTGAGGCAGGATAATTGCTTGAACCTGGGAGGCAGGGGTTGCAGTGAGCCGAGATCGTGCCACTGCATTCTAGCCTGGGCGACAGAGCAAGACTCTGTCTCAAAAAAAAAAAAAAGTCCTTTTGCCCAAATATTTCAAGATGAGAGGTTATAAAGTCTGCTGCTGCTACGCTAGTCCTGCTTCCAGTAAAGCCTAAGGCTAAAAACAGCTCAGGAGAAGGCAGACCTGAGAGCTGGAGAGGTAGAGCCCTGAAAGCATGGTGCCTAAAGCCATATCTAGGGGTGTTGCTACTTGGGGGTCTCTTGAGCCTCAAGCCGTTCCTGAGGCCTTGACTTCCAGCTCTGCTGTGCCTCACAGCATCCAAGGAGAGATTCTTATTCACCAGACAACCCTCTTCTCTGGACAGAGGCTCCTAGGAGATGCCAGAATTGTTAAGGCCATCTGGCCCTGTCTATGTGACCTTAAGTGGCTTGTTGCCCATCTCTGGGGCTCAGCCTGTCTTCTGTGCAAGGAAGGACGAGGACTTGATGGTCTCAAGGACACTTCCAGTTTTGACCTTCTACTTCCTAAGGGTATTTAATCTACAGGCAGACAAGGGATGGCCCAGCCTGCCCCACATCTGTTCGTGGTGAGCACAGCAGTTTCCAGAGAGAAGCCATTTGCCCAGGACCCAGCAGGAAGAGCAATAAAGAAATCCCTCAGCTTCCATATTCTAATTAAATCAGCACAAATTTAATTTGGATGTAATTTTTAAAACATGACCCATAAAAATATCCACAAGCACTGCTCTATTGGGCCTCCTGGAGGAAAGATGGCCTCAGAGGCCAACAAAAGGCCTGATTGGCGCTTTAATCAATAGGTATCTGCGAGGAGACAGTAGAAGGCTCCAGGGGATCTGTGTGTGCTCAGGAGGGCGTTCCTGTGAAACCAGGGATGCGAAGGGCACCAGGACAAGGTAGAGTCAAGAAGACACTGTGGGCTGGGAACGGTGACTCATGTCTGTAATCCCAGCACTTTGGGAGGCCAAGGCGGGTAGATCATGAGGTCAGGAGTTCAAGACCAGCCTTGCCAACATAATGAAACCCCGTCTCTGCTAAAAACACAAAAATTAGCCGGGCGTGGTGGCATGCGCCTGTAGTCCCAGCTGCTCGGGAGGCTGAGGCAGGAGAATCACTTGAATCCAGGAGGCAAAGTTTGCAGTGAACCGAGACCGTGCCATTGAACTCCCGCCTGGGCAACAGAGTGAGACTCCATCTCAAATAAATAAATAAATAAATAAATAAATAAATAAATAAATAAACAAAAAAACAAACAAACAAAGACACCACGAGGCCTTCTGTGATGCTTCAAGGCAAAGGAGGGGAAGAGACAACAGTTCAGGACCAACCTAAAGTGACAGCAGTGTAAGATCAGCCCGAAGTGGGCATGGATGACCATTCCAGAGGCTGGAAGATCGACAGGCTGCACAGTGGGGTCACTAGCTGGGGGCTTGTCGAGTCCCTTAATCCACCTAAGACTCAGTTTTCTTGTCTCTAAAATAGGAATTCTGATACCTGCCTTGTGCACCTCATAGAGTGGTTTTGGAACCAAGGCTGGGATGAAAGCCCCTTGGAAATGGTAAAGTCTCCTTCAAAGGCTAGAGGGCGCCAGGTCACCATCACCTCCTTATTAGTTGATCTTTTCCCAAAGGGGGCTTCAACGTTTCTACCCAGAGTTTATCCTAGAGGTAGCACAATGCAGTGGTCCAGTCTTGGCCTCCAATGGAGACCGCTTGGGTGAAAAGCCTGGCTCTGCCACTGTCTGGTGGTGGAGCCCCACACAAGCTTCTTAACTTCCCTTGGCCTCCCTTTCCTCATCTGTAAAATGGAGATGATGGACGTGATACTTACCTCCTAGGGATATTGGGATTTTAAAAATCCACTTGTGTGAAGTGCTAAGCTGTGGGCCTGCCCAAAAGCAGGTGTTTGTAATTACTGCAGTCGTGCCTGCCAGCCAGTTTCACTCCTCCTCCTCACTGGCACTGCTGCAATTCAGAACAGCCTTGCCCATGGATGCTCACCTGGACAGTGGGACCTTCCCACACCCCCTGCCTCCAGGGCCTCCTCTCCATCCCAGCCTCCTTGCCAGCTGCCAGAGGGTGGCTTACAAGGCCTGCTGCTTCCCTGGCCCCTTAGCATAGAGTCCTCCCTGCTGGGCACGGTACTCACAGCTTTTGCATAATCTGGCCCAAACACGCACCTCCAGCTTCACCTCCTTCCGCACCCACTCCATTCTCTAGCTGCTCTGAGCCGGCTTCCTGCTCCCTAAAGCCCATGTCCATCACATCTTTGTTCATTCACTTGCACCACACTCACATCTTAGAGTGTTTCCTCCCCATTACCTCTGTCACCCTGGAAAACTCCAAAGGTGCTTTCAACCCTGATTGCTCCATCTGCCACCCCAGTCTCTCGTGAGTGGCTCCTTGGCCTCCTTTTCCTGTTATATTCCCACCTTCTCCTGTTCACATACCACATTTTAGCAACACCAACTGCTCACAGGCTTCCCTGGTTTGGGCTGATGAGTAAGAGCTACTGTGGGTAGAGTTTCCCAGGGTGGGAATCCCAAGAGATGTGGAACCCTCAGTCCACACTCTTTAGCCCTAGAGGCCCAACAAGTTGGGACCAAAGGACTGAATCACCTTTTTCCTTCTAATGAGCCCTTTCCAGGGATTTTTTTTTTTTTCAGAGTTTCACTCTGTCACCCAGGCTGGAGTGCATTGGTGCAATCTCGGCTCACTGCAACCTCCGCCTCCCAGGTTCAAGCAACTCTCCTGCCTCAGCCTCCCGAGTAGCTGGGATTACAGATGCACACCACCAGGCCCAGCTAATTTTTGTATTTTTAGTAGAGATGGGGTTTCATCACGTTGGCCAGGCTGATCTTGAACTCCTGACCTCAAGTGATCCACCTGCCTCGGCCTCCCAAACTGCTGGGATTACAGGCGTGAGCCACAGTGCCCGGCCTCCAGCTTATTTTTATGCATATGCTTTCATTTTTAATTTTGTTGAGAAATTTTAAAGATACAGGAAAAACATAAAATCAGCACCCCATATGCACCTACTTATCCACCATGCAGAACTGACAATTTGTTCATGTTACTTGCTTTGTCTTCCTTTTTAGAAATTTATAAAATTTAAATCACATATGTATTATGACATGACAGCCAGACTCAAAGTCTCTTTCTTCCTCATTCCTAATTCTATTTTCTTTCATCCTGCCAAGGCAAACATGATCATGAATTAAATGTGCACTTCTCTGGTTCCATTTTTAAACTTTGGCATAGACACAGAAACCCCTGATAATTCGTAGTATTGCTTCGTGTGTGTTGATCAGCATAAGGGGTAGAATTTCAACATAACCTTCTTCTCTGCTTTCTGCAACACACTCTTCTCATTCAACATGATCGTCTTGAGATTTATCCATATTGCTGCGTGAATCTAGCACATTCCTTTAATTGCTTTTAATTTTATTTTATGAATAGACTCCATTTTATTCAGTTACTCCTCTGATTGCCTGAAATCTAAGTTGTTTCCCTTTTTTTTTTTGTCATTAATTAGTGCTGCAGTAAATACCCTTGCACACCCCTGGGGGGGTTTCTCTAAGGTGGAAACCTAGATGTGGAATTGCTGGTCTTAGCTTTCGTTGCATTTTCAGTGTGGCTGGATATTGCCAAACTCCTCTGCAAAGTGGCTGTGCTAATTCTCACTACTACCAGCAATGTCTGAGTGTGTCTATTTGCAGGAGGCCCTCATTTTATAGGAGAGAAACTGAGGCTCAGACCAGGCAATGGAATTGCCCAAGATCCTGCAGCTAGTCAGTGGTGGAGCCTCGATTAGGACTTGGGCTCTGGACACCACACAAAGGAATGAACTTCCAGAAACATCCTCCTTTTGCCCAGCCAGAGTCAAATTAATGACAAATCTTCCCTTGACCTCTGTCTGATCGGTCTTTGTCCAACCTTGGGAAACACTTGTATTAGTTTCTACTTTGCTAAGAAAGAAAAAAAAAACTCATAATAAAAGTTACTGGCTAATAACAAGTATCTTGTGTCATGGAAATTTTGCATATATTCTTCAACAATAAAAATGAAAACATGTTTTCCTTTAGTAAAGGAATTTCTGTTCTACTGCACTTATCACCCCTGGGAAGGAAATCTGATGTACCTTGACTCTATTTTATGACCATCTTGGAGAACAGCGATGTTGTCAATGGAAGCATGAAGAAACTATAGGAATAAAATTAGACAGAGATGGAGACAATGATACTAAAATAAATATCATTTGAAATTGGATTTTGTGGTAACAGCACAGCAGTCGTCACTGGGAGCGTGAAGGTCACGCGTCAGACATGGAGAACACCAGGCCCTGGTGCCAAAACATTTTGCTTCCAAAAGCATGGTCCTCCCTGGACTGCTTTCAAGGTTGCCTTTACCTGTAACACCTCCATCCACACAAGGCACGGTCAGTGCAGAAACACGTGACAAGGCTGACACACAAAGATGGGCGAGTCGGGGCACGGGGAAGGAAGTTCACCTGTCAGGCCAAACTCAGATCACAGCCGCCAGGTGAGCCACTGGGTGGTGCCAGAAAGGTTCCTGCAGATGTCCTGGCAGAGAAAGGTGGAGAAAGATCCCCGCCTAGTGGAACAGACAGTGGTCAGGAGATAAGGGAGATCCCAACACTAGTTACTTGTTTATTGCCTCTCCCATCTACCAGACTTTTTCTTTTCTTTTTCTTTTTCTTTTTCTTTTTCCTTTTTTTTTTTTTTTTTTTTTGTGAGATGGAGTTTTGCTCTGTCACCAGGCTGGAGTGCAGTGGTGCAATCTCAGCTCACTGCAACCTCCGCCTCCCGGGTTCAAGCTATTCTCCTGCCTCAGGCTCCCGAGTAGCTGGGACTATAGGCTCCTGCTGCCATGCCCAGCTAGTTTTTTGCATTTTAGTAGAGATGGGGTTTCACCATGTTTCCTAGGCTGGTCTCGATCTCCTGACGTCGTGATCCGCCCGCTTCAGCCTCCCAAAGTGCAGGCATTACAGGCGTGAGCCACCCACACTCAGCCTACCAGACTTTAAACTTCTTGACAGCTATAGCTTTTTCTCTGATTATCTTAATATTTCCAAAGTTTAGAAATGTTCCTAACACATAGTAGGTACTCAATAAATGTTAGTTTTTGAGTCAATGACTGAATGAATCCTGGGAACATCATCCCCAGCCAAGCCAGAGCTCAGCTTGTCCAGGCTGCAGCAGACTATCTGGCAGTAGATCACCCAACCCAGTCCAGCCTTGAAGAACCCCTCCCACCAGATTCCCCCTCCATGAAGCCTCTTCTAGTTGCTCCAGGGGGGCTCTCTAGTCTTTTTTAAAAAATATCCTGCTTCCTTCAGAGTAAGCCCCATACAATCAGGCAAGTATTCCTGGAGTTCTCTTGGCAACTTCCTCTCCCCGTGGTACATCAGTCACCAAAGCCCTCTCCACTCCACCTTCCAAGTCCCCTTCCCCTGCCTTAGGCCAAATCCCATCTTCTCAGCCAGTCTCCCTGACTTCAGACCTACTACCTTGTAGCAGGCAGTTTTCACTTGGTTATGCTGCAGTAACAAACAACCTCTCAGTTTCAGAATCTTGCAACAGCAAGATCTAGTTGCAACTCTCCTGCACTGGCGGGATCCAGGATTCAGGCTGGAGCAACAGTCTCTGTCTGAGACATGCCATTTTCCTAGCAAGAAAAGGCGAGAGAGCAGCACAAAAATGCAATGCCTCTGTGGTGGTTTTAAAATCTTTTTTACAAATGTTTTTATACTCCTTGCTTCGAGAGGTGGAGTTTAATTCTCCTCCCCTTGAGTATAAGTTGGAGTTAGTGACCCACTTATAATTACCAGCCCATAGCAGAACTGCTGGTGTGTAGTCTCTGAAAATAGGTCATAAAAGCACTGTGGCTCATTCTTGGATCTTGGAGCACTGCTCTGGGGCAGGCCAGCTGCCATGTCACTAGGACACTCGGCATCTTTATGGAGGAGACGTTGTGGTGAGGGACGGAGGCCTCCTGCCAACAGCCAGCACTACTGGCTATGTGAGGGAGCCACCTTGGAAGCAGATCCTCCAGCCCCAGTCAAGTCTTCGGATGACTGTGGCCCAACTGATATCTTGGCTGAAACCTCAAGGGTGACTGAGCCAGAACCAACCGGCAATGCTCCTCCTAGACTCCTTTCCCAGAGAAACTGTGTGAGATAATAAATATTTATTGTGTTGGGCCACTATGTTTAAGGGTAATTCATTATGCAGCAGTAGATAACTAACACAGCCTTTTAAAGCTTCTGGTCAGAATTGGTGTATGTCACTCTACTCTCATTTAATTGGCCAAAACAGATCACAAGATCAGCCTGGCATCAAATACCTATGGAAACATTGCAAGTCATAGAGGAATGGGTAAGGAAATATAGCCTGCTTACAGGAAGAGGGAGTGAATGGTTAAGCACAATAGTAGAGTTCACCATATCCTACCCCAATTCGTCCTGTTCCTTCTCCCACCATAAAACACAAAGTTGACCATATCAGCTTCCGTTCTTAAAACACTTTAGTGGCTCTTCGATGCCTCCAGCACAAAGTGTTACCTCTTCCATCAATCCTTCCAGGCTTCCATGTTCTTCCTCTGCCTCAGTGCCACCCTCTATCAGCTTGTGACTCTATCCTGTGCTCTGATTTGTCTGTTCACCTGTGCATCTCCTTGATAGCAGAGACCACACTGATTCATCTTTCTCTCCTGATTTCTCAGCACAGGGTCAGATGGTCTAATTTTGTGATGAATGGATGGATGACTGGATGGATGGATGGATGGATGGATAGATAGATAGATGGGTAAATGGAAGGCTGAATAGATGCAGGGAGGGACAGGCAGCAGAGAAAGTATGGGGATAAATGAGCAGCAATCCTTTGGAGTTTTGCAGCTGTTGCATATGTGAGCCTTCTCTCTCTGACCAGACAAGCAACTTCTACCTCCGAACCCTGGCCTGGGAATCAGGAATCAAAAGGTGTGTGTTAAAGTCTTGGCCTTGTCTTGTAATGGTTTTGTGGCATTGGGAAGGTTCAAAGTTTTAATCACTAGTGAAAGTTAAAAATGCCTGAGGAACAAAATCAAAATGAATGAAGATCTGATACAGTGCCTTACAGACTGATATATACTGCGCCTGTGAGGTGTGCCCCTCTCCAGCCTCTCCCATGTGCTGCAAATAAGCATAGAGGTGGACTGTCAGTGTCCTATGTCCCTGAGAACCTTGAGTAAACCACAAGCTGCCCTTAGGACCTGGCTGTGAGACTGCAGGACAAGGGCCTGGACAATGGAGGAGAAACAGATACCTGGAACTGTCACCAAAGGCCCCTACAACTCCTCTGGAGGGCAGCCTCAGGATGGGAATAACTTTGGGCTCTCCTTTCTTTATCATAACAGTCACCGTGGTGATAGTGGCCACCACCATTCTCTGCAGGCCACCAGGCACTGGTCCACAGAGCTCTGGGAGATGAGCAGCACACGGCTGTCTACCCTGCCATGCGGGTAGATTCACAGAAGCCATGTGTCTTTGGCCTGACTCTGTCTTCCTGGCTAGAGCCCATTGGTCCAGACAGGAACATTTGACCCCAGGTGAGCTTTAAATGTTGAACAGAGAGTTTTGGAGCCAAGTCACATCAAGGGTGGGGTGGTCTGGAAGGTGCCAAAAACCCCTGCTGATTACAACAATTTTCCTTGTTGCTCAAACTCATTAGAGATGGTTTTTGTCATTTGAAGCTAAAGGATCCTTTAAACCTCATGACAGGCCGGGTGCAGTGGCTCACGCCTGTAATCCCAGCACTTTGGGAGGCCAAGGCAGGTGTATCACAAGGTCAGGAGATGGAGACCATCCTGGCTAACATGTTGAAACCCCGTCTCTAATAAAAATACAAAAAAATTAGCCAAGCACGGTGGTGCGTGCCTGTAGTCCCAGCTACTCCGGAGGCTGAGGCAGGAGAATGGCATGAATCTGGGAGGCGGAGCTTGCAGTGAGCCAAGATGGCACAACTGCACTCCAGCCTGGGTGACAGAGCGAGACTCCATCTCAAAACAAACAAACAAACAAAACAAAACAAAACAAAAAAAACCTCATGACAAACCAGCAAAAAAAAAAAAAAAAAAAACCACAACATTTTATTGTGCCCATTTCACAGATAAAGGAACTAAGAAGCTGAGAGCTGTATCGACCAGCTCAAGTCCCTCAGCTAAGAAAGTACAGAGGAAAAGTAGTGCCTCACCAGTCCCATTATCTCAACAGTCCTCACAATAGCCCCACTGTGAGGACTGGCAGAGCAGCATGTTCATTCCCAATTTGCAGATGAGAAAACTGAGGCTCCAAAAAGAGAAGTGACTTTCCCAAGGTCATACCATGAGCAAGCAACCGAAAGGACCCAAACCAAAGTTTTCAGACTCTTGTCCAAGGGCTCTTTGCCCTGCCCCTGCCCCCTACTCCCAGGATCCCTTCTGCTAGCAGCTCCCCTAAAGTGCTGACCTTGTGCCCTGAATCTACCTACTCACTCAGAGAGAAGTTATGTGGCCTTGGAGCTACTTCCTGAACAAGCAAAGGAACAGCTGCTGGCCCCAGCCTAGGAGAAGAGAGAGCCTTTGTAAGAGTTAAAGAAAGAGGAAAGAAACTCGAAGTGTGCCTCAACAGTCAAAGACAGGTTTATTTTAGAGAAATAAATCTGAGAGGGGCTTCTGGCCAATTTCGGTCAGGAGCATTGTCTCTTACAGACTAAGAGTATATATTGGTTTTAGGGTGAGGGGGCTTATCACAAGCTTGGAATATTTCTGTGTTAGGGAGAAGTTTTATGGCGGGGTTGGAATGTCTCTGGTCAGAGGGGAGTTATCTCAGGGCTGGCATGTCTCTGGTTGGGGAGGGGTTTGAAATGTTTCTGGTTGGAGATGTGATTTGTGGTTTATGGTCCTGCTGACCTTAGCCATTAGGCTGATATCTTTTGGATTTAGGCAGTTTTTGATCAAGGTGGACTTAAAATGACAGTGCTTGTCCAAGATGGCAATACTCCTGCTCTGTCAGCCTCATGCAGGGTGTAGGCCCTGGTCCTGCAAACTTCCAACCTCAGTTATTAGTATCTTGCAGCATCATTGCAGCAGGACACTCGAGCATCATCCTGGCCACTAGAGCTGTGCCTGCAGGGCCTCAGTTACAGCCATTAGGTTTGGGGCCTGGGAAGTGAGGCTCAGGCGAGGTGCTTTGGGCATCCATCTCTTGGACACCTGCATGCAGTGAGAACCTTGGCTGAACACTTCTACCATAATGGGTTAGGAAATGTGCCCAAAGGCAGAAGCCTGCTTCCTGGGAGAGGCTGGAGAACTAGGACTCATCCACCAAGAGACTGCAGACCCATTTTGTAGTGAAAAGTGCTCTCCAGAATTTAACCAAATGCTCACCAGCGTCCCCAGCAGAGGGGAGGAGCCCAAGGACCTCTGTCCTCTCTCACATCACCTCTCTCTTCCCTGCCTGTTGCTCCAGGACATGTTTGTGAGCCTGTCAAATCACTCAGGGAAAACTAAAGTGACAAGTAGCCTGGATGTCGGCCCTCCCTTCCTCTAAAACCTGCTGTGGCTCCCCATTGTCGAGAAGGTGAATAACCAACCAAAATGTCTTTGATTTACACCCACACCATGTTTAGTATATTTCCTCTAATTCTTACCACAATCCCATGTAAGAATGGAAGAAGTTCCCATATCACAGATGAAAAACATTAGGCTAAAAAAGATGAGTCCACTAATTGACAAGGCCAGAATGGGAACACAGGTCTTGATAATATCAACTATTAACAATGACACCGATATCAATACCTGTTCCCAGAGTCGCGCCTAACGTGTATTCTATTTATTGAAGGAGATGCTAACGGGGAAGGTGTCCTGGCATCTCAGTTTCAGCAGTGGCTCCAGGTTCAGTTACCTATGAATAGCTGCATCACAAACAGTCCAGAACTGATTTGCTTTAAACCGTGATGATTTATTATTTCTCATGACTCTCTGGGTTGACTGGGCAGACCTTCTGCTCCATGTCCGTCATCTCAATTGTTTGCGTGGCTGCATTCAGGTGGTTGACGGGCAGAAGGTCTGAGAAGGTCTCTCACATATTGGAGCCAACTGTCGGCTGGCACACTTCTGCCCTCCTCCTTTGTGGCCTCTCCATGGGGCATCTCATCCCCCAGGGCCTCTCAGCATGGCCTCTTTCCCCAGCAGCATGGCCTGACTTCCTTACAGCTTGGCAACAGTGTTCCAGGAGGGAAAGAAAACAGCATCTTAAGGGCCAGGCCCAGAATTGGCATGGCATTACTTTCACTACATTCCATTGATCAAAGCAGGTTGTAAAGCCAGCCCAAAGGCCAAGGGAGGAGGAGTAAACCCTCTTTTGATGGGAGGAGTGGCCTGTGCATGCATGGATGGAGGAATTACTAGTGGCTATCTTTGGAAACCACTTTCTACAGATGCAAAGCTGAGAGCAGAGGGTGTTTGGTGTCCACATACCCTGTAGAGCTGTTGCATCATCTCTGAAAGACTTGCAGAAGGATGACCAAAAAAAATCACACCTGGCAACCCTTCATCCATCACCCACCTTGAAAGCATGGAAAGAAAGGCTTGAAAATTAATGAGGAGAGGATGGAGCAGGAGGATGTTTTTTGAGAGGGGGTTTCTGGCGTCATGTGCTATTCTCTCTTCTCATGGAGAAAGGAGGTGCTTCCCTGTCACAAGCTTGGTTCAAGTCATCTGAATCTCAGGGCTGCAGGGGCTGGTACCTCACTGACACCATAAAAGGCTCAAGTGATGGCTAAAGGAATAACACAGCAAGAAGAGGGGGCTGCAGCAGTTTCACTTCCAGGAGGGCAGACGAAGGCATGGACCCTTCCCTCCAGAAGGAAGTTGTCTTGAAAGGGCCTCCACCCAGAGATCCACCATAGGTCTGTTGGGAGACAGACAGCAGGAAGCCAGGGGCTGAGAGGAGCCTCTTAAGCTGAGACCATGTATCCCAGGGAACCGCCCATTACCCAAGAAACCCTCCAAAGGGTCCCATGAGTGAAAGGATCAGGGTTTGAAATGCACCACCCCAAGAGGGCGCCAGCTCCAGCTGGTAACTCCACGGATCACGTGGTTCAACCCCTTGCCTCTCCTCCCTCCCTCAGCTCCAGACCTGGGAAAACCCACACAGAAGAGGTAGAGAAGGAGGAGGTGCAGAAACTCAATGGTAGCAAGCATCAGGAAGCCCAATCATGACCATTTTTCCCCAAGGCAGGTGTCCTAGCCTGAAGGGGGCCCAAGCTAAGGGGTATTTGGGAAGAGAAAGTTGTTTTGAATTGGTTGTGAGACTAAAGTTTCGATAATATAGAAAACGGGACTTTTTAATGACTGGGGGGAAGATGAGCTACTTATTAATTCCTAAGATTGTACAGAAAAGCTAAAGATCTGCTGAAGATTTCATCTGGGAACAGGAAAAAATTATTGAAGAGAATGAATTAATGGGGTAAATATTAAATTACTTTCTGCTTGCAGCCTAACAATTCCAGCTCATTCTATAAACTGGTTACATATGTGATCAGTATAATTCAGTCCTTAAGAGCACCGTCTCTGGAGCCAGACTGCCCAAGCTAACTACCCATCATCTAATCCTAGCTCTTGTATTTTCTAGCTGTGTGAATTTAGGCAAGTGACGTAACTTCTCTATGTTTTATCCATAAACATGTGACTAGTAATAGAATCATGGGGTTATTGGAACAGTTTAACAGGTTAAAATTGTAAGGAACTAAGTATTATAGTAGAGGGTATCTCGTGGTAAGCACTAGATACTATTATCACTTACCCCCTGCTATCCTATATCACTATCCCTCCTTTGTTGAGGGTCAGAGATGTTAAGTAAGTTGCTCAGGGTCACACAGCTAGTAAGGAGTGGCAATGGAATTTGAACGCTGGTCGGTCCAGCTGCAGGTCCTCCTGTCCTTTACCATCAGGGCATGTTGCCTCCCTTATGAACTTGGAAAAGACCAATCTCTGAGACTCAGTATTCTCATCCATAAAGCAGGGATAAGAATAATTTCTACTTCATAGAGTTTGTGAGATTAAATGAGTTAATACACAGAAACCACTTTAAACAACCCTAAATAAATAGCATCGACAGCCAGTACCTCAAGGTTCAACCACTTGTTAGCTGTGTGACCTTGGGTAATTTACTTCACTTCTCCATGATTCAGTTCCTTATTCTAAAAGAGGAGTAATGGTTGTGTCTATCTCATACGGTTGGTATGAATATTAAATGTATAATTTATATAAAGCACTAAGACTGGTGCCTAGCCCCTGGGAAGTTCTATAAAAGCACTCAGAAGCGCCTGAGCTGGATACCAAATCTGTCAAATTCCAGAGTCTATGTACTTCCTTTTTTTTTGTTTGTTTTTTTGAGACAGATTCTCGCTCTGTCGCCCAGGCTGGAGTGCAGTGGTGCGATCTCAGCTCACTGCAACCTTCACCTCCCAGGTTCAAGTGATTCCTGCCTCAGCCTCCTTAGTAGCTGGGATTACAGGCGTGCACCACCACACCCAGCTAATTTTTGTATTTTTAGTAGAGACGGGGGTTTCACCATGTTGGCCAGGCTGGTCTTGAACTCCTGACCTCAAGTGATCTGCCCGCTTCTGCCTCTCAAAGTGCTTGGATTACAGGTGTGAGCCACTGCACCTGGCCCATACTTCCTCTTATACCCCCAAGGAATATAATTGTAAAAGCCACACATGACCAAGACATGCCCCACTGGGCTATCAAAGGAGCCCAGAAGCACATAGTTAAGTGCAATATTTCACACACACCAGTTGGTAAGGGGCTTGGGAAGAGCCTCCTTCGCCACAAATTGCAGGGGCAGGGCTGCCCACTTGCTGAAGGCTCCACAATTGGTTCTCTGGCATGATGGGCCCCTCTCCACCCGCCCCCCGGCAGCTGGTAGAAGATCCTCCTAAAATCCCATCAATGAAAACCAGGACGGTTAGGGTCCGTTTCCCTCCTGAACAAGGAAAGAGGGCTCCTCTGTGATTGTCTGTGATTTATGATTTTGAACTGTCTCCCATCTGAAGCCAAATCTTCTTCTTTTTTTTTTTTTTTTTAAGACAGAGTTTCGCTCTTTGTCGCCCCGGCTGGAGTGCAGTGATGCGATCTCGGCTCACTGCAACCTCTACCTCCCAGGTTCAAGTAATTCTCCCACCTCAGCCTCCCGAGTAGCTGGGATTACAGGTGCCTGCCATCACATCCAGCTACTTTTTGTATTTTTAGTAGAGACGGGATTTCACCATGTTGGACAGACTGGTCTCAAACTCCTGACCTCAGGTGGTCCACCCACCTCGACCTCTCAAAGTGCTGGGATTACAGGTGTGAGACACAGTGCCTGGCCGTGAAGCCAAATCTTTTATGTCCCTATATCTGGAGCAAAATGCACTCACTTCCAAAGCTGCAGTGTTTGAGTCTAGCCAGAAATAATGAATTCCCAGCCCCCAAAGGGAAACTGTCATCCCTAGCACCCATGCTGCACCCCCACCCAGAGCTCCCAGGTCTGCTTGAGAGAGGGGGTCCCATTCAGAAGTAACACTGAAGGCCTGAGGGTTTGGGGAGCTGGAGGATGGGGAGGGGGAGGAGAGGAAAGAAGATCCTGGCTTTCCCCACATCCTTGGCTAAGGGATTTGTGCCCAAGGATGAGGGCAGGTGCTTTTCACCAATCTCAATAATAGTCATTACTGTCTAGTGAGTGCCACTGTATGCTGCACCCTTCCTCCAGGCCCTTTGATTCATCATTTCTAATCCTTAGAATCCCAAAGAGCAGGCACCACTCTTTTGCCCGTTGCACAAGCCTGGATACTGGGGCTGAGAAGCGTCAGGTAACATGTTCAAGGTCGTAGGGGTGGTAAGTGATGGAGCAGGGACTCACACCCAGGTCTGTAAGACTTGGGCTGGTATAAGTCAGGGTACACTCTGGAGCCAGACTGCCTGGGTTTCAAGCCTGGGCTGTATGACCTTGGGCAGTTTTTCCTCTGTGGCTATATTTCCTCATCTCTAAAATGGGGACAATGAGGCTTCCCACTTCATAGAGTTGCTACAAGGATTAAATAAGCTGGTGCCTTACAGTGCCTGGCACACGCTTAGTGTGGCACGAGTTCAACCTGGCACTGCCATTGTTCTGCAATGTGTTTGCACCCTGATTTGGTACATAGTTCCTGCCTGAGTCTGGTTTCTGAATACAAGAAAAATGTTTCTAGGTCGGAGTTCTCAGAATCTGGCCCCCTGACCAGCAGCATCCACACACCCTGGGAACTTGTTAGAAAAGCAGATTCTCAGTCCCCACCTCAGACCTACTGAATCAGAAGCTAGGGGTGTGATACGATCTGAATATTTGTTGCCCGCAAAACTCACATGTTGAAACGTGATCTCCAAGGCAATGTTAGTAGAAGGCAGGGCCTTTGGGGGATGATTAAATCAGAGGGTTCCACCCTCATAAAAGAAATTAGTGCTCTTATAAAAGAGACCCCAGAGGCTGGGCACAGTGGCTCACACCTGTAATTCCAGCACTTTGGGAGGCCGAGGCGGGCAGATCACCTGAGGTCAGGAGTTTGAGACCAGCCTAGCTAATGTGGTGAAACCCCGTCTCTACTAAAAATACAAAAATTAGCCAGGTGTGGTGGCAGGTGCCTGTAATCCCAGCTACTCGGGAGGCTGAGGCAGGAGAATTGCTTGAACCCTGGAGGAGGAGGTTGCAGTGAGCCGAGATCGAACCATTGCACTCTAGCCTGGGCAACAAGAGCAAAACTCCATCTAAAAAAAAAAAAAAAGAGGCCCCAGAGAGCTAGCTAGCCCCTTCCACCATGTGAGGGTGTAGCGAGAATGCATCGTCACTGAGGAACCAGCCCTCACCAGCCACCAAATCTGCAGTCACCTTGATCTTGGACTTCCCAGTCTCCAGAACTACAAGAAATACGTTTTCCTTGTTTATCAGCTGCTAGTCTATGACATTTTGTCATAGACTAAGATGGAAAGGCCCAGCTACCTGTGTTTTTCTGTGCTCCCCAAGTCACTCTGGTGCGTAATCCCATTTGAGAACTGCTGGTCGAGGTATTACAATGAGCTTGGGTTTCAGAGTTGGACTGATCTCAGTTCAAACCTTGGCCAAGCTCTTTTCTGGATTGACTTGGGCAAAGTCTGAACCTTTCTGCTCCTTAGTGATCTTATCGATAAAACAAGGATCCTCATCTCGTTCAGAAGGTTATGGTAAAGAGAAGATGGGACAGTACTTTGAAAGTGCTTCTTAACTGTGGGATGCTGCCCAGAGGTTATCAGGAGCCACAGTCCCCTCATCCACCAGTAGGAGCTCTCTTGGAGTCCAGCATGTTGGAAATAGAGTTGGAGCAGGCAGCCTCCAGGTGGGACCCCAGAGATTAGAGAGGAAGCTATAGAGTCCAGGCCAGGTAGGAATACCCCATGGCCTGGGGAGTCTGGGGGAATCTAGGCCAAGGCCACATGTCACCTGGCTCCTACCCCTGGCCAATTCAGCAGCCACCCTCCAATCCTGACCATCAGTGGCCTGGCCCATGACACCTAAACTGTGCATTCCTGAGTCATGAGTCCCTCAGAAGAGTGTAGGGTGGGGACACCAGGAGTCAAGCAGAACCCTAGACCAGGCTGCCAGAACCAGGGTAGAGATCTCCCTCCAGCCAGAGCTGACTGGTCCTGGAAGGCTGCTGTCTGCTGTCTGCTGGCCAGAAGCTATGACTTCTCCCTGCCCTCAACAGCTATGTCTGTCCTCCAAGCAGGTCATTTTCTCAAGACTCTCTTGCATCAAAAATCCTCCCCAGGCTTCCCAGGCACAACTTCCCTTCTTCCCTCTGCTGGGAGGATCTTGCAAAATCTTCCTCCTGCTTAGAGAGGCCCTTAGCAAGGCTGAGGTTCTGAGTAAAGACAGAGCCCCCAGGCAAAGCCTCACTCCACCTGCACTGGGGAAATATGCAGCTGACTCCTGCTGTCTGCTGTGGCTTTGAAGAACTGAGACCAAGGGTTCCTCTCAGGGTTGGCCTGGCAGCCCAAAGGATGGGGGTCAGAAGGTTCCCAGCTCGGACCCTCAGAGAAGCAGCCCTCCAAATGCAATGCCGCCTGCAGACTGCAACCTTGAGTGCAGTTCTGTTTTGATGCTGGAGGGCCTCCTCATCATTCCACAGCCAGGGAGCTCACCGCCTTACAAAGCCATCCATTCTGTCATTACAGGTCTGCCTAGGGCCTGCAACCTATGCAGTTTAATGGGGTCCCCACTATCAGAAGGGCACATGTTTGGTTAAATTCTCTGCTGCCATTGTCTTAAAATTCTTAACAATGTTTGAGTTTTCATTTTACACTCAGCCCTACAAATTATGTAGCCGGTCTGGGTATGATCACTGGGGAATCCTTTATATGAACTCTCATACACATTCCCACAAAATCCTAGAGGTCTTTAAGCTAGATCTGCTCCTTCTGTCCCAGGTGGGCCAGGAGAGGCCCCTAGATGGACCCTGAGCCCAGGGCTGGAACCTGGATGAGGCAAGTGAGATGCCTGGGGCATGAAGTTTAAGGAGACCCTTACTGTCTCAGTCACATACATGCTGACCCTGCACTTGTACAACCCCCAAAATAAGCAACTCCTTAAATTTTGCACCCCAGGTGCCTCACTCACTTCCTCTGGTCACTGCTAAGCCAGTGTCCAGGCTGTAAGGTGGACTCCTCAACCACAACCTGTGGTGAAACCTACAGGCCTCTCTCTGCTTCCCTCACAGGCCAGCCCAGTCCTGACCATTATTCCACTCATCCCTGGGTCAGATGGTAGGAGGAAGGCAGAGGGTTGGGCACATAGACCAGGCCACAAACCTCAACACCGACGCCTGCAGGAACCAGGACTCTCCACAGGCCAGCAGCACCCACATCACCTGAGAACTTGTTAGAAGGGCAGAATCTCAAACACTGCAGAGGCTGAATAATACCCCACTGTATGTATACACAGCATTTTGTTTCTCCATCCATCTGTCAATGGACATTAGGTTGTTCCCTTGGCTAATGTGAATGATGCTGCAATGAGCATGGGAATGCTCATATCTCTTTGAGATCCTGATTTCAGTTCTTTTGGATACATACCCAGGAATAAGATTGCTGGAGTATATGATAGTCCTATTTTTAATTTTTTGGGAACCTCTATGCCGTTTTCCACAGCAGCCACATCATCCTGCATTCCCACCAACAGTGTGCAAGAATTCCAATTTCTCTATATCCTCACCAATATTCATCGTCTTTTTCTTTGATAATAGCCACCCTAACAGATGTGAGGTGATGACATAAATGAATCTTTAGGACATTATGCTAAGGGAAACAAGCTAGTTCCAGAAAGGCAAATGCAGACCTCCCTCTGTATCTATGGGGGATTTGTTCCAGGACCTCCTTGGATACCAAAATCCACAGATGCCCAAGTCCCTGATATAACATGGTGTAGAATTTGCCTATAACCTATGCATATCCTACCACATACTTTAAATCATCTCTGGATTACTTATCATACCTAATAGATCGTAAATGCTATGTAAATCGTTGTTATACTACATATTTATTTGTGTTGTCTTTTATTATATTGTTTTTATTTTTTTGTATTGTATTTGTATCATTTCTTTTTCAAATGCAGTATTTTCAATATACAATTGGTTGAATGGGAGGTACCTGCAGATTGTGGGCCAATTGTACTGCTTGGTTCCACATATACTAGGTATCTAAAATAGTCACACTCATAGAATCAAAGAGTGGAATGGTGTTTCCAAGGGCTGGGGGAGGAGGGAAATGGGGAATTATTCATCAGTGGCATAAAGTGTCCACTAGGTAAGATGAATAACTTCTAGAGACCTGCCATACAACATTATACCTATAGTCAAAAATACTGTATTTGTTGTATGCTTAAAAATTTAAGAGGGCCAGGCGCAGTGGGTCATGCCTGTAATCCCAGCACTTTGGGAGGCTGAGGCACGAGAATCTCTTGAACCCGGGAGGCGGAGGTTGCAGTGAGCTGAGATTGTGCCACTGCACTCCAACCTGGGTGACAGAGCGAGACTCTGTCTCAAAAAAAAAAAAAAAAAAAAAATTAAGAGTATGGATCTCATGTTAAATCTTCTTACCACAGTAAAATATAGTTAACCAAAAAAACAAAAATGCAGAATCTCAGGCCCTAACGCAGACCTACTGAATCAGAATCTGCTTATCGACAAGATGCCCACATGATCTGTGTGTCTGACAAGCACTGATTTAAAGGGCCCCCGAGTTCAGCATCCTACCCCATATCTTGGTTAGGATAGAAAAAAAGCTGATGAAAATCTCTTGCTTCAGGCACTGAAAACCTACTTCTGCATTTGTGTCTAAGACCATCTGAATGCTTCTGGCCCTGTCTATCTGCTTTACTTCAGCTCTCCCTGTTTTTGTTTTAGTTTTTAATTTTAGCTTTTAAATATCAGGTTTTTTCCATTAAAAATAGCATAACCACATTTAACAAAATATTTGTTAAAAAGGAATTTACCTTACCTCTCCCAGCATATACAAAAATTAACTCAAAGTGGATCAAAGATCTAAATCTAAGAGCTAAAACTGTAAGATTCTTAGAAGAAAATGTAGAGGTAAATCTTCATGGCCTTGGATTTGGCAGAGGATTCTTAGACGCATGAGCAAGAAAAGAAAATAATAGACAAATTGGACCTCATCAAAATTTAAAACTTTTGTACATCAAAAGACACTATCAAGAAAGTGAAAAGACATCCCATAGAATGAGAGAAAATGACTGCACCTCAAATATCTTATGAGTTTAATATCTAGAACATGTAAAGAACTTTTACATCTCCATAACAAAAAAGTAAAGAACCTAATTTTAAAATGGGCAAAGGACTTGAATAGGTATTTCTCCAAAGAAGATATATAAATGACTTTTAAGCACATGAAAATGTGTTCAATGTCATTAGTCATTGGGGGAATAAGATCAAAACCACTGTGAGATATCACTTCGCAACTATTAGGATGTCAGATGGCTTTAATTTAAAAAAAGGAAACACATGTTGGTGAGGATGTGGAGAAATTGGAGCCTTTGTGCATTGCTGGTGGGAAGATAAAATGGTGCAGTTGCTGTGGAAAACGGTTTGGCTGTTTCTCAAAAAGCAAAACAGAATTAGCACGTGACCCAGCAATTACACTCCTAGGCGTATACCCAACAGAACTGAAGACAGGAACTCAAACACATACTTGTCTATCAATGTTCATAGAAGTATTATTCACAAGAGCCAAAAGGTAGAAATGACCCAAGCATCCAGCCACAGATGAATGAATAAACGAAAAAATGGTGTACACAGCCATAAAGGGTGTATTCAGCCATAACAAGGATACATGTTACGACACGGACAAACCTCAAAAACAGGCTAGGTGAAATAAGCCAGACACAAAAAGACAAATATTGTGTGATTCCACTTCCATGGGGTATCTGGAATAGACAAATTCAGAGAAACAGAAGACAGATTAGAGGTTACTAGAGGCTGAAGAGCAGTGGGAATCGAGAGTTATGGGTATAGAATTTCTGTGTGGGGTGATGACAAAGTTTTGGAAATAGATAATGGTGATGGTTGCACAACATGGTAAATGCAATTTATATCACTGCGTTGTATGCTTAAAATGGTTTTTAAAAAATAATTTAGGCCGGGCGTGACGGCTCACACCTGTAATCCCAACGCTTTGGGAGGCCGAGGCGGTCGGATCACCTGAGGTCAGGAGTTCAAGACCAGCCTGACCAACATGCAGAAACCCCATCTCTACTAAAACTACAAAATTTGTCGGGCATGGTGGTGCTACTCAAAAAATTAGCCAGGTTCCCCAGCTACTCTGGAGGCTGAGGCAGGAGAATTGCTTGAACCTGGGAGGCGGAGGTTGCAGTGAGCCAAGATCACACCATTGCACTCCAGCCTGGGCAACACAAGCGAAACTCTGTCTCAAAAAATGTTTAAAAAGATAATTTAAAACATTTCCCACAGCCCTCACCTCCAATCCCCAACCCCAACATTTCTGCAAGCAGGAGTCATTCAAGTTTGCCACATCCCAGAATGTCAGCCCCCTCCTTTCAGATCAGGGTTACATCAGAATCTGAGCCCTGGAAATGTGGAGCCACAAGGAATCTCAGACACTGCATAGTCCTATCTTCCCACGGTAAGATGGAAACACCAGGCTCAGAGGCAGGCAAGGACAATGCAGTTTGACCCCAGGCATGCTGACAGTGCCCAATTCCTACACAACTGGGGGTCCCTGCAGCCCCCAACAGATCACCCCTTGGTCCCTCTTCCCTCAGCCCCAGCCTGGATTACCCCTGCTCCAAGCAGCTGCCCCATTAACCCACCCAACTCCACTAACCATTCAGTCTCTTCCTTAGCAATAACAGCGTCACTCTGCAGGAACACTTAGTGGAAATTGACAAGCCCAGAAGCGTCAGCATCCTGGGTGTCCCTGAGAAGCTCATGGGACTGAGGAGACCTGAGTCCTAGTTCCTGTCCTATCACCACTGATCTGCCTTGTGACCTCAGGCAAGTCTCCTCCCTTCTCTGAGCCTCAGTTTTTCCATCTGTAAAAGGGGTTAAAAATGCCTTTTGCACAGGGCATTTAATTAATAATTTAATTTAATTATTATTAAATTAAATAATTGTGAAAGAGAGTAATATTCTTATGACTTCACAAGTAAATTGTTTCACCTTCACTAGACCGTAAGCTGTTTGAGAATAAATCAAATATTACCTTCCCTCTTCACTCCCCAGGTATAAGGCTGGGAGCACAGTGAGTGCCTAGCAAGCACAATAACAATGTGTGTGTGTGTGTGTGTGTGTGTGTGTGTGTGTGTATACATATAAACATACATATGCACATATTTCTTTCAGTTACCTACAGTTAACACTTTTTATGAGATGTAATAACAGAAGAAAAGCTAAATGAGTAGGTATTATTGCCCCCATTTCATAGGGGAAGGAAACTGAAGTTCAGAGAAGTCAAGTAATTTGTGCAAGGTCACACAGCAAGCAACCAGCAGAACTAAGACTTAAAATTGTGTCTGTGGCCTCAAAGCCTATGAGCCTTCTGTGTACCAAGAGAGATGCATGCAACAATTCACCAGTGTCTCTCCAAGCCCTGTGTCCCGAGGCTGCTTAACTCACAATTATTGGCAGATAATTTATCAGGTCTGCAGACAATGACCCCAGCCTAGGAACGATTGGTGGTTTGAGCCAGAAGTGGGCTGGAACTCTGAGAGAATTTTCCCCTAGAAATGTCATCAAGTCTTGGCTGGGCGTGGTGGCTCATGCCTGTAATCCCAGCACTTTGGGAGGCTGAGGTGGGCGGATTACCTGAGGTCAAGAGTTCGAGACCAGTCTGGCCAACATGGTGACACCCCGTCTCTACTAAAAATACAAAAAAAAAAAAAAAAAAAAAAAAAAAAAGGCCAGTGGCAGTGGCTCATGCCTGTAATCCCAGCACTTTGGGAGGCCAAGGCAGGCAGTTCACGAGGTCAGGAGATCAAGACCATCCTGGCCAACATGGTGAGGCCACCACTGAAGACTGCCTTCCAGCTCAGCTTCTCCCTCTGCCCAGTACCACCTCCTCCCCATCTCTACTAAAAACACAAAAAATTAGTCGGGTGTGGCGGCACGTGCCTGTAGTCTCAGCTACTCAGGAGGCTGAGGCAGGAGAATCGCTTGAACCTGGGAGGTGGAGGCCGCAATGAGCCAAGATCATGCCACTGCATTCCAGCCTGGGCAACAGAGTGAGACTCCATCTCAAAAAAAAAAAAAAAAAAAGTCACCAAGTCTTAACTACTTGAAATAGCTTTGCTGTGGGTATGTTCAAAATCTTTCCCTATGGTTATTTGCAATATTCTTGTAGTAAATGCCACCTTCTCTATGACGCAATATTGGGAAACATCACTCCCTGGGCCTCCTCCTGACCCCCTCAATACTCCAAGAGCAGCTTCAGTAGGATATTGACTCCCACTAGTCACCCCCATCCTTCTCAAAGGCCCCTGTAGCAGATAATATGACACATCACCAGGGCCCCCTGCAGAAATGAAGGACACATCTCCAGCTGCTGGAAGTGCTGCAGGCAGAGAGCCCTCACCTGGCATCCTCTTCCAGGGTTTGCTCAGCTGAGGAGGGTCCCTCACCCAAGATCATGCCCTCTTTCTGGGGAAGCCCACATCCAATGGCTGATCAACCCAGGGGTAAAAAGACCCAGCCTTCTAGCCTCACCTTGAGACAGCTGTCAAGGGTCATCCTAGCAGCAGAACTCTCTGTGGGGATGGCTGAGGCCACCACTGAAGATTGCGTTCCAGCTCAACTTCTCCCTCTGTCCAGTACCACCTCCTCGCCCTCCCTTCCATAGGCATTGGCCCCCAAAATATACCCTAAAAAACATCTTGCATGCCCACTGTCTGCTTCCTGGAGAACCCACCCTGAGACAATCCTTCACAGGCATTGCAGAAGCTGCCCCCCAAAGCAAAACAGGGGAGCCACCTGATGGAACCTGCCTGAGCTCAACTCCTAGCCCCCTTGAAGCTGAGGAATGAGCACTAAATTGGAGGCAGCTGGTTCTGCCTCCCCTGGCTCACCAGCTGGGAGACCCAGGTGCCAACACCTCCCCTGGTCATCAGAACTTTGTCTTTCCAACACATCAGCACCCCCTCCCAGCCTCCCTCCCAGGGATCTTGCCAGGAGCAGATGAGGAAAAGCCTGTGAAAACACCCTACAGGCTGCAAAAGGCTGCGCCAATGGGAGAGGCTGTTTGAATGAATTAGCACCAACTCCGCCGCCAAGCAGTTCCCGCCTCCCTCCTCTTCTACCAGTTTCTGTGCCTATCATATTGCCAGGGCCCTGCATGCCTATTTTTTCCCACAAAACACCAGCTGCCTGGTGAAGTCTAATGCCTGACTATTGGGGAGAAGTGCCCATGATTCTCAAGTGCAGAAGCAGGTTGCTTTGAGCTTCACTTGTGAATTAATGCTGAGGCTCAGCTGGCATGGAGCAGACCCTAGCCCACCCACTTGTCCCCCACACACAATGACCACCGACTAGCTACCTGTCATTCGTGAGAGACTCTGGGCAACAGCTTATCAGATGGAGGCGTGGCCATGATCAGATGGGGACCCAAGCTTGGATTCTCTTGTCTGGTGCTCTAAAAGCTCAGTCTATGGGTGCTGCCTCAGTTTCCTATAGCTGCTATAACAATTAACCATATACCTGGTGGCTTAAAACAACAGAAACTGAGTCTCTCACAGGTCTAGAGCTAGAAGACTGAAATCAAGGTGTCAGCAGGGCCACACTCCCTTTGGAGCCTCTGGAGAATGACCCAGCCCTTGCTTCTTCTAGGACTGGCTGCCCTAGCATTCCTGGGCATGTGGCTGCACCGCTTCAATTCCCGCCTCCATCCTCATGCCACCTTCCCCTCTGTGTTTCTGTATCAAACCTCCCTCTGCATTCCTTTTTATCAGGATACCTACGGTGGCATCTATTGTCTTCAGGATGATCTAGAATAAATTTCCCCTCTGAAGATTCTTAATTTTATCACAACTTTTGCCATGTAAAGTAAGACTCATAGGTTCTAGGCATAAGGACAAGGAGATATCTTTTGGGGGGCACCACTCACCCCAATACAGGTGCTCCTGGCATATCCTGGAGGACTGGAAGGAAAACCAGGCAGGTTCTCCATTAAAGAAGTCCCTGGTCTGGCCTCTGTTCTGAAATTTGTGAAGATTAGGGACCCACAGACACCATGGCCACATCCTCATTGTGGCTGCTCAGATCCATCAGCACCGTGGTGTAATCAGAGTGTGGCCAACATCATCGCGCTTTGGCAGGCTAGCCTGAGAACCACCCTTGGGATTTTACATTGTTTCAAAGAAGCTGTACCCTTTGGGGTTATACCCAGGTAGGGTGAGCAATATAGCAATTTTTCTGAGGCTTTGCTAGTGTTCGCACTGGAAGTCCGTATCCCAGGAAACTCCTCAGTCCTAGGCAAACAGGGATGATTGGTCATTCCACACCCAGGTAAGCGCAGGAGCCAGCCGTCTACATGAGTCATCCAGGTGGATTTTCAAAGCCTCCTCTATCATTTGGGCTGGCTTCCCCATCAGCCTCAGGCACCAGCCCTGGCAGACACCCAAACTGAGCAGAAGACATGTGTTGGCCATTCCTCAGGGTCTCCTCTCTTCGCTCTCAATCAGTTCTCACGCCCTCTTAGCTCCCTGTCCATGAAGCTCCATGCCTTAGTTTTCATCCTTGCTCCTCCCCACTCCACCCCCAACCCTGGATTTGATGATTTCCCTGATTCTGTCTATTAGTTGTCTAGGCCTGATGTTAAAAAGTACCAGAAACTGGGAGGCTTAAACAATGGAAAGGGATTGTCTCACAGTTTTGGAGGCTAGAAGTCTGAGACCAAGGTGTCGGCATTGCCATGCTCCCTCTGGAACCAGTAGGGGAGTCCTTTTCATATGGCTTGGCTCTATGTCCCCACCCAAATCCCATTGAATTGTAATCCCCATTGTTGGAGGTGGGGCCTGGTGAGAGGTGACTGGATACTGGGGGTGGTTTCTAATGTTCAGCACCATCCCCCTAGTGCTGTCTCACGAGAGACCTCTCATGTGATAGACCTCCTGATAGACCATGTGACAGATATCTCATGCGATCTGGTTGTTTAGAAGTGTATAGCACCTCCTGCTTTGCTCACACCGTCTCTCTTTCTTCTGTGGCCATGTAAAGATATGCCTGCTTCCACTTCACCTTCCGCCATGACTGTAAGTTTCCTGAGGCCTCCCCAGCCATGCCTCTTGCACAGCCTGTGGAACCATGGGCCAATTAAACCTCTTTTCTTTATAAATTACCCTGTCTCGGGTAGTTCCTTACAGTGATGTGAGAATGGGTTAACGCACCTTTCTTGCCTCTCTCTAGCTTCTCATGGTTTACTGAAATTCTTTGGTGTGTAGACGCTTCAGTTTTATTTCTGCCTTCATCTCCACGGAATTCTCCCTATGTCCAGATTTCCACTTTTTATAAAAACACCAATTCCCCATGGATGATGAGGGAGGACTGAATATGTATAATCATGTTGCTAACTGTATGACTTCTTCATCACACTCTAAGATCCATGAATGCAAAGACCATGCCTGTCTTATTCACCACTCTATCCTTAAGAAATAAATAGAAGTCAGTCTTCTTATATCTGTTTAAATCCTTCTGGGAATGAAGAGCTCACTAACTCCTCAAAAAGCCCATCAATTTATGCTCAACTCTGAAAATGAAGAAGGCAACCCCAATTTCATTTTTCTAAGCTGCTTCAGTTTTGTGCCATAATCCCATGCTTTCATCTGTATGCATTTGGTAACACCAGACACCACCAGATCACCCCATGTGATCGGAAAATAATCAAGGACACACCCCATTTTCTCCAAGCTCTTTGACCTTCCAAAATATCTTCACCTTCTATCCTCACATGCAACCCCAACCCAGCCCATCTGTAAAGAGAATGCACAGAGTAAAACTTAAGACTAAATTAAACCCCATTAGTTTTCAGAGAAATGCAAATGAAAAAAAATGGTTCCACTTCCTAACCTCCGAATTTAAGAAGACTGATAACATGTAGTGCTGGCAAGGGCAGGGAGAAAGAGACACTCACAAACTCTGTTGGTGGAACTGTAAATTATCCCAACCATTTTAGAGAGTAATCTAGCAAAATTTATTAAAGTTAAAGATGTTAAGTCCTTTTGACCCAGGAGCAATGCTGCTTCTGGGATCCATCCAACTGAAATAAAAGTACCAGTTCAAAAGATGTATGGGCAAGGGTGTTTATTGTAGAATTGTTTATAATAAAAAAGAAAATCTTATATTCTGTGGAATACTACACAGCTTTTACAAAGAATGAAGCAGATCTATATCTATTCACTTGGAAAGATATATACAAAATATTGAGTGGGGGAAACAATACGGAGAAAAATATGTATATGTTTCTGCTTTTTAAAAAAAAATAGTAATAATAAATGGAGCCACATCAGTCTGGCCACATCTGGAGGAAGGAGTAAGGCAGGGCTGGGGCCTCAGTGCATCAACACCACAAACGGCTTTGAGGTGCATGGATGACTACCCCCTGGCTGCTATGTGTGGGCAGGTCATCATGAGCTCAGCCCCGACCTGTTCATGGCAGCCCTCATGCCTCTCACCCTCCAGTCAGGGCAGATCCCATGAGGGATCTGGGGAAGAACTAATCCCAGCTGACCAAACTTAAGTCTCGCCGCCACACAAGAGCACCCCCAAGCAGGCACAGAAGTCTTATTGCAGGACAGGCTCTCTTCTTTTTCTCCACACTGAGGGGTCCAGCCACCATGAAGGCCATTCAGACTCCACTGAAATGGCCACTGGGCACCATCTTGAATAAAAGTCCACTGTGGCAGACAACAGCAGTCCTTTCCCACAAACCTACCTACCTCAGACAATTCCACACAAATATACTCTCACATATACAGAGAGAGAGAGAGAGATCAACACCAAAAACCTGAGCAAACCAGTCATCAGCCATAAGCAGACCAAATGAGGTGAATTGACAGCATTTCTTTAGCAAACTGTGCAGAGAGCCTGAGGCCAGGGTGAAAAGTTTTGAAGCTTAAGAAATTAACAAGCAAGTGCAATTTCCAGCCTAATGGAGTGTAAGGCACAATCAACACCTTTGTGAAAGGGAATATGGTGGGCACTTCCAGATCTTTCCACCCAGCCCAGAGCCTTTGTTACGACTAAAGATAAAGATTTCCCGCCACTGGTGCTCCTCCTAACAATGCCACATAATCCCAGCTCTGCCTCACTGACCCACATCTGTGCAGAATGGGAGAGAAGAGTTCCAGTTCGTAGCTTCTAAGTCTTTATTCAGAGTCAGTCTAGTCTCCTACTATTTAAATTTTGGAGTTCAGTGGTAAAGTTCACAATTTAAAAAATAGAGACATCATAGTAAAAGCTGAGGAAAGAACGTCCCCAAACTATTAGCAGTTGTTGCTTTTGGGAAATAGTATGGGGAGATAAGGGATTTTGCTTTTTATTCTGTGTCAGTTGAATATTTATAATGAGCAGATATTACTTTTGTAATTTAAAAATTTATATAACTAATGTTCCTTAGATATAATGATTTGGTTTGTTTCTGTTTGGCTATATCTTGATATCAGAAGTTTAGAGGATCACAAACTGTCAAAATAAGGAGGGAACATAAAAGCTCATTTGGAATCACCTACTCAAGTTTAAAAAGAGCTCAGAGATGGGGAAGTGGGGAGGAGTCATTTCGCCCAATTCATGGCAAGTTACTGTCAGAGCTAAGGCTAAATGCCCTGGTCTCCTGATGCCCAGGCATTGCTCTTTCCCTGCATGCTGCAGACCCCAGCTGCAGATTTGACTGACAGCCTCCTCTCTCTCCACACTCAAGGATGGACAAGTACTGGTTCCAGCATGCATCATCCCTAAAGCCAGTGATGGCTCAGAACTTGATCTGCATCTCAACCACCTGTGGCTTCTAGCTGCCGCTCAGGACTCCTGCTATTATCCAAACACAGCCCATCTTCACTAAGACAGGGGTGATAATTACACGAGCTGGTTATTGTCACCCTCTCATCAGCTCTTCACCAAGATACAGACAAGATGTGGAATGTGAAAGGAGACACCTTGGCAACCACTGCAGCTGGGTCTGCAGATTGCCAGCCCCACTGTGACATGGCTAGTGTCTTCAGTCTCTTCTCTCATCCCTCCTTGTTTTGCATCCAACATTTCAGACATAGGGAATGACTAATAGAACAAACACTCATCCCACAGCACTATCACAGTGCTTTTCCCCTGGGATTTTAAAAAGAGTGCAAGTACCTGCATTTTTCCATCCTCCCAGGTGGTCTTGATGTGCACTTCATGGAGAGGCCCTTCTTCATTTTTATGTACTTTAGAATCCTCTATTTGCCAGAAATATCTGACCTTCATCACACTTGGTCCCAGGGCAGAGTCTTGCCTGCAATTGGCAATTGCAAATTGTTTTTCAGGTGAACGTTTGTTGGAATGAATTGCTTCAAGGTGGCTGGCTTGAGAAGGTGTTGGGGGGCTCTCACTTCCTTTTGGCATCCTCTATAATCTTAGGTGAGAAAGACCCTGCTCTTCTATGGATATGGAGGTGGGAGATTGGTGTTGGCAGAAGGAACAAAGCACACATTGATTCAACTAAGTCAGTCAAGCCAACAGTCAATTCCAATTGTGAGCAGCTGACCCTACAAAAGGATGGAAGGCAAGAAGTTCAAGTCGCTTGACATTTCCCTGATAATGTCCAATTGGCCACATTCCAAAAGCCAGGCCACTCTGATCAGATGCTCCCACTTGTCTGGGCTTCCAGAATGACTCTGCCTAGTAAACCTTCAGTCAAAGTTGATAGTGAGTGGAAATCTGGCCCTCTTTGACTTTTCAGCACCCGGGACAGCACCCAGCACCTAGTCCCTGCTTGGTGCTGTTTGTTGACATATCCCAGAGATGAGGGTGGAGGGTTTAAGCATTAATACCTTTCAGCAATGGAAGAGCAACGCTTGGCTGCCCTAACTGCACCCGATGGGCCATCAAACTTGTCCAGACCCCCGAAAACCAAGGTCAGGAATTGTGGAAGGAGATTCCTTTAAAATCACAGCTGGACTCAGATACTTACATAGGCCAGGGTACTGTGTAGGTGAGGCGGTATTAATCAAAGCAGCCTCAAGGCACCACCAGTCAACTCCCTCCAGATAGGGTATATTCTCAATATAGATCAGCACAAAACAAATAGATACAGACAGACTTGTGCTATGCTGTCCCCACCGCCTCCAGTCACAGAAGAGGACAATTTTAAATCAACAAAATGTTCACACTTATCTACTTTATTATCCTTTTAGCGACACAAATAACATATGCTAAAATCAAACAATCGAGTGTAGAAAGAAAAAGTGAATATCCTTCCCTACCCCAATAAGACTTCCACAACCACCACCATCATCCCTCAGGCATGTATCCTTTCACATATTTCTCTATGCTCACAGGGAAACATAGAGACTCACACACACACACACACACACACACGTGTTCTGGTTTTCTTCTCCTCTAAAAATACATAGGCATAAGTTGTTCTTTTTAACAATTGCATATTATACCATACAGGTAAACCATATATTATTAAAACATTCTCTTATTCATAGTTGTATTCATAGGTGTTTCAGTCAGGATTCTCCAGAGAAACAGAATCAATAGAATGTGTGTGTGTGTGTGTGTGTGTGTGTGTGTGTGTGTGTGTGTGTATATATATATAATATAGAAAGAGAGAGAGACAGAGAGAGATACATACATACACATATGTATGTGTGTGTGTGTGTATATATATATATATAGAGAGAGAGAGAGAGAGAGAGAAAATATTTTTGAGGAGTTGGCTCACATGATTGTAGATACTTGATAAGCTGCAAATCTTCAGGGTACACAGAGAGCCTGGAGTTCTGGTCCAAAGGCACTACTGTGCTGGAAGAGCTGCAGTTCTGGTCCAAAGGCACTATGGTACTATTGTGCTGGAAGAATTCACTCTTATTCCAGCATAGTGCTTTCTATTCTTAACAGAAAAAGGTCGCTCTTTTTCTATTAAGGTCTTCACCTGATTGGATAAGGCCCACCCACATTATGGAGGGTAGTCGATCTGCTTTACTCCATGTCTACTGATTTAAGTGTTAATACCTTTTCAGGAACACATGCAATAGTATTTGATCAAATATATGGGCACCATGTCCTAGTGAAGTTGACACATAAAATTAGCCTTCACAATAGGCATTCAAACATTTACCAAATTGTCACTCAATGACACATTCCAAGCTGGTAGATTTTTGTCCACATACTTTTCTTTCATCCCTACAGTATCCTGTGAGGTAGATAGAATTACCCTGTTTCACACATGATGAACTGAGGCTCCAAATTCAGGTTTGTCTAATTACAAGTTTGAGTTCTGACTCACTCTCCCACCAGCTCTGTGAGCTTGAGCTGTTTGCTTAACCTTTTGCTGTCAGCTTCCCACATATAAAATGAGCTTAATAACACATCTACCTCTAGGGTTGCTAGGAGGATTCGATGAGATAATGCAGGTAAAGGGGCTCACACTGCACAAAGCTTGGTAGACTATAAATGTTCCATAAAGACCACATATTATTTCTACTATTGTTCTGGCGAAGGAGGCCTGGACCCCACTTGGACAAAGCCCAGGAGCAGTCCCGCAACACGTGGATGTAACAGGTGCATAAACTATTTACAAACCACACCCGTCACCCGCGAGCTGGGGAGGCTCCTTAATTAAGAAGCAGCCCATCCTGCCACCTGGCAGTGTGTTTCCATTTCCTGGCCTGAGCTTCAGTGTTTCCACAGTTGGCACTTTGCAGAGGAGATCTGAGAAACATTAGCACTCTCTGAAGCCCACGCTCCAGACCCACTGGGGAGCCCACCTCTCCATCTGTCCAATCATGCACCAAACAACCACGAGGCAGGAGTCACTGAGAGATGTATTTAGAATGTGCTTTCGATTACTGAGGTGGAGGCCACTGAGTTCCACGCTGGGCAAGTTTCCTGGTGAACATCTCCTCTCGGCTGGGCCCCCAGGCCATTGCTGAGACACAGTTCAGAGTTTTGATGGCACTGTTCACCTGGTGGCTACTGTGAATCCCCTCTCTCTCTGTGGCTGGACTCACCCCAGGAACACAGGATGCTGAGAAGCCACTGCCATCTGTTCATACCTGCTGTTTCAAGCCACCTAGGGCTAGGGGATGATTTACATGGAGAAAAAGCCTGGGACATCAGACAGGACAGACTGCTCTGCCCCCTCACACACACACAGGCCACCCCCATTTAGACATGTGAACTGCAGTCACCATTTGCTCCAAAGTGTGAATTGCTGGGACCCAAGGCACCCATTTCTCAGCTTCTGAGCTAGAGACAAGGGATGTGAGATGTGAAAGTTGATGGGTTCAGGCGGGACTGATTAGCCCTCATGCCCACCTCTCTTGCCTTGTTCTGTGTAAAAAGGTTCCACGTTAATAGAAGGGAGAAGAGTTGGAGGGAAAGAAGTGAATCTGACACAGCATAGCTAAGTCATCTACTGCCCTGCTTACAGGACAGGAAGAGGGAGCGAAAAGAAATAGGTGAGTTCCCTCTGAAATTGAGGTGGGGAGGTGGGATTTGAAAAAATCGGAGACCTATATGCTGTTTGCTGGCTGGAGTTTTGAAGTTGGAAACCCACAGATGTTTCTTTCACACCCAGACCCTGGGAGTATGGATGGATCAGTGAGGTATATGTCTACGCCTGAGAGGGAGCCGAAGAGGAAACGGAGGATGAACCCAAACATCTCGGCATCCCCAAGTCAGGAACTCAGAGGGTAGCTGTGATGGTGAATGGTAGATGTCAACTTGACTGGATTGAAGGATGCCTAGGTAGCTGGTAAAGTGTTGTTTCTGGGTGTGTCTGTGAGAGTGTTGCCAGAGGAGATGACACATGAGTCAGTGGACTGGAAGAGGAAGGCCCACCCTCAATGTGGGTGGGCACTATGCAATCGGCGGCCAGCGTGGCTAGAACAAAGCAGGCAGAAGAAGGGGGATAAGCAGCTTGCTTGCTGAGTCTGCTTGCTCTCTGCTGTATCTCTTCCCATGCTGTGCTGGATACTTGCTTCCTCTCCTCCTGCCCCTGGACATCAGACTCCAGATCCTTTGGTCTTTAGATTCTGGAACGTGCACCAGCAGCATCCCAGGGGTCTTGGGACTTCAGACTCAGACTGGGGGCTGCACTGTGGGCTTCTCTGGTTTTTGGACTTGGACTGAGCCTCGCTACTGGCTTTTCTTTCCCCAGCTTGCAGACAGACTATCGTGGGACTTCGCCTTGTAATCACATGAACCAATTCTCCTACTGGTTCTGTCTCTCTGGAGAACCCTGACCAATACAGTAGGTGACAGTGGGGGACTCATGGGGTGTAAAGATGTGACTATCAGAGAAATGCAAAGTGCCAAAGATAGCAGGCAGCCAACGGTTCAGGGTATTGCCAACACTGGGGCACTGAGAAAGAGCTCAAGACTGACCTGGGACTCACAGCTGTGGTGAGCCCCCAGAGCAGGCAGGACAAAGAACACACAACCCCATGTTCCACCATAAAGCCAGTTGCATCAGCAGGCCTTGGTTCATTTGTCCATGGGGCTGAAGGGGAACAGAGGGCTATGACCAAGCTAACAACTCCAAATATACCTCCCCTTTCCCCAATAAATGGATAGGCTAAGAAAACTTGAACTGGAAGAAAAAAAGCCACCTGCACTTCATCAACTAGGTGCTTGGAGTGAAAAAAATAAAATCAGTTCTGGAATCCCAGAACATCTCATTTTCCCCACAACCAGCTCTACAACCATTGAAATTCTATACGCATTTCATAGACAAATGCCAATAAGCACATGACTCCTTGTGATAAGGAGATTTTTTCTTCATGTAGCATTGAGAGCAAAACTTTACATATGGCTAGGAAAGGCAGGAGCCTATTTTAGAATTCTTGAAATGAAGATGGGACTATCATGCTGAGATTTTCTGTATTGGAAGGAGGGGTGTTGCCTATAGGAAACCCCTAGCTCACATCATATCTTGTCAGGGAAGGATTTATTTCCCCTGAAAACCTTCTGTTGTATCCTAGCCTGGGTTCCTCCCAGAAGCTTATTTGAAGATAAGGATTTGAGAACAGGAGGTCTGTTTGGGAGATGATCTAGAAAGTGTTCTAGAGAATGGGAAAGTGAGTCAGGGAAGGGACAGAAGCCCATACTTCCCCCAAGTGACTTCATGAGCAGGTGACCACCTGGGAAGCTGAGATGTAGCTATGTAGCACCCCCTCCCATAACTACTACCAGGGTTAGGAAGCTGGGTTCTTTTTTGTTTGTTTTTGTTTTTTGTTTATTTGTTTTTTTCTGTTGTGTTTTGTTTTGTTTTGTTTTTTTTTTTGAGATGGAGTCTCACTCTGCCAGGCTGGAGTGTAGTGGCACAATCTCAGCTGACTGCAACCTCCGCCTCCTAGGTTCAAGCGATTCTCCTGCCTCAGCCTCCCGAGTAGCTGGGACTACAGGTGCACACCACCACACCCAGCTTATTTTTTGTATTTTTAGTAGAGACGGGGTTTCACCATGTTGGCCAGGATGGTCTCCATCTCTTGACCTCATGATCCGCCCGCCTCGGCCTCCCCAAGTGCTGAGATTACAGGCGTGAGCCACTGCACCTGGCCTAAACTGAGTTCTTTATTCACCCATTTCTTTTTGTCATCAACCAAGAGCTGCTCCTGGTGGCATTGACTTCCAAGCACTGCAGCCTGGCCTGCACCTGGCCTGAGCAGAGCCCTTGGCAAAGCGTCATCGTTGCCTGCAGTCAGATGCTGGACATTGCCTGCAGTCAGATGCTGGACCATGCAGCATTGGTGAGTGCTGATGGGGCACCGCAGGACACAGCCAGAGTCTGCTGCCCTGGGCATGCCTGTGGCTTATCACATCCCATGTGGCAAGCGTTGTCTAGTCTCCTGAATCATGAACCAAACAACACAAATGACACAGTCTATGTAATAAACAGTCTATGTAAAATTCATACTCTTAAAATTGGGAAGAACTATCTATGTCATTTAGTCTAACATCTCACCCAGTACAGGAAATCCTGCTGAACCATCATTCCAAGCAAAAAGTCATCCTCTACATGAATGATCCCAAGAGGGCAGGACCACTCCCTCTTAAGCCCTCCTCTCCTGTTGTAGAAATTCCAGTCTATGAGGTAGGGTTGCCTTGTCTTAGTTCCAAACGTCTCCCTCTGTGACCTACACCTGTTAGCCTGGGTTCTGTTTCCTGGAGCAATGCAAAAGAAAAAAAAGAAAACACTTTTCCATTTATGCCATTGATGATAGGCAGAATAATAACCGCCCCCCCCCCCCCACACACACACACACACAGACAAAGATGTGAACATCCTAATCTCCGGAACCTGTGAATATGTTGCTTTACATGGCAAAAGAGACTTTGCAGGTGTGATTAAATTAAGGACTTTCAGATGGGAACATTAACCTGGATCTTCCAGGAGTGTCCAATGCAACCACAAGCCTCCTTATAAGGGAAAGAGGAAAGCAGGAGAACAAGAAGGAGGAAGCAGAGCTCAGAGTGTCAAGATCACTGCTTTGCAAATGAAAGAGGGACCTGCACCAAGGAATGGCTCTGGAAGTTGGAAAAGATGAGGAACAGATTCTTTGCTAGAGTGTCCAGAAGTAACACAGCTCTGTTGACATCTTGTTGTTAGCCTAGTGAGGCTTCCAACCTCTAGAACTGTAAGATCAATTTGTGTTGTCATAAGCCACAAAGTTTGTGGTCATTTGTTGTGGCAGCAATAAGAAACTAATACACCCTCACGGTAGTGCTTGATGCAGGTGAGGCCAAAAACTATGGGCTCTCCTTTCCAAACAATGCATGATTTTCCAACCATACCTTGTAATATATGGCTTCCAGGCTCTTGCTGTCCTTGTCACCTTGCTCTGAAAACTCTCTAGTGCCCCATGACTAATAGGCCCCTTCACATGCTGGCCCCAAGCAGTGGATATATAATTCCATGTGAAATCAACTCAAGCCCAGAAAGGACTAGGATCCTGGCTTCCCATGATCTGGACAACGTACTCTCCATTGCAGTCAAATTTTTACAACCTTGACATGCCAACAACCAAAACCCGGAGTCCTCTTCATGGAAAATTTTTCAAGCCTGTTCTCCTTCATCCTGTAAGTATGCAATTGAGTTTTACCCAACTGTGGGAGTTTATATTTATTCTGCTCATCCCTTCAACTTCTTTACTTTTCTTTCTTAATTTCAACCAGTTGTTTCAACCCATCGAAGTCATCTTGGAATCTGACTCAAACACCTAAGTATTGGCTGTTCCTCTCCTTGCATCAGACCATCTAGTGATAAGGAGGCAAAACATACTCCCCCACAGTAGCCCCAACATTCACTGTATCCCTTCAGGATCCCCCACAGCCTGTTATGGTTGGAGATCTGGCCTCTACAGCTATTCCTTTCCTCCATACCCCCAAAGACAAGTACAGGTCCTTTGCATTTTAAGAGTTTTGCTAATGATTACTGAGAGAAATTCTACATGGAGTAATAGCGTAATTAATATGAGGAAATCACATTAGTCTTAGAATTCTACAAAGTCCATAAAGTCTGGCCCTTTGTTCACAGTTAAAGCCCTCTCTGAGATGATCACTAGATACCCTCCATGGAACACCTCACTGGCTTTAATTCCTAAAAATGGGCTTAAGCCCTCCTCCACTTCTGATTCTCTCACACATACATCACCTGTAATAGTGAGTACACCCCTCCCCTAAGTGAAGATGCCATCCTGCAGAACATCAGGTACCTCCCTTCCTCTGGTGGCCATTTTACATTTGAGATCCCCAGATTGTGAGATCCTTAAGTCACTGAGGCTCTGTTCAGCAAAGAACTAATCCTCTATGAAAATTTCTTCATGGGCACTCATCAGTGTTTCCAGCTGATAAGCAGAAACTTAACATTATCCAAATTTTAGTTGTGTCTACCTTTGAGTCATTGGTAAAAATGCTAAATAGAACAGAGCCAAGCACAGAGAGCTGGAGAACAGTTCTGCAGACATTTTTCTCACTTGCCCCCAGTTCAGTCTTAACATCCAACTCCAAATCAGCCCACATGAAGCTCATCTTTCCCATAAACAGTTAGATGGGAACATAGAGAAAGACAGAAGTCAAAACCAGGTCTAATATCCAGAACATATAAAGAACTCTTAAAACTCAACAACAAATGGGCAAAGGACTTGAATAGACATTCCTCCAAAAAGATACACAAATGGCCAACAAACACCGGAAAAGATGATCAACCGCATTAATCGTTACAGAAATGCAAATCAAACCACAAGGAGATGCCACTCCACACCCACTAGGATGGCTGTAATAATTTTTTAAAATAATAATAAGAATTGGCAAGGATGTGAAAAAATTAGATGTGAAAAAATTAGAACTCTCATACATTGCTGGTGGGAATGTAAAATGGCTCAGCCACTGCGGAAAATGGCGCAGTGGTTCCTCAAAAAGTTAATCATAAAATTACTACATGAGGCTGGGTGCAGTAGCCCATGCCTGCAATCCCAGCATGTTAGGAAGCTGAGGCAAAAGGATGGCTTGAGTTCAAGAATTTGAGATAATCCTGAGCAACATAGGGAGACCTCATCTCTACAAAATATAAACAGAATTAGCCGGATGTGGTGGCACATGCCTATAGTTCTACCTACTCAGGAGGCTGAGGTGGGAGGATTGTTTGAGCCTGGGAGGTCGAGGCTGCAGTGAGCCATGATCACACCGCTGCACTCCAGCCTGGATGACAGAGAAAGACCCTGTACCAAAAAAAAAAAAAAAAACTACTGTATGATTCAGTGATTCCTCTCATATATATACATATACCTAAAAGAACTGAAAACTGTTACTAAAACAAATGCATGTAAACACATGTTCAGAGCAACGCTATTTACAATATTCAAAAGGTAGAAACAGCCCAAATGTCCATCAATGAACAAATGGGGAAACAAATTGTGGCATGCACATATAATGAAATATTATTAAAATATTAAAAGTAATGAAGCACTGTATTAACTCAAAAAGGAATAAAGTATTATTAAGCCATTAAAAAGGAATGAATGATAGCAAAGTGGATAAACCTGGAAAACATTATGCTAAGCGAAAGAAGCCAGACACAAAAGGTCACACATTATACAACTCCATTTATATGAAATATTCATAATAGGTAAAGCTATTGAGACAGAACAAAGACTAGTGATTGCCAGGAGCTGATGAGAAGGAGGATTGGAGAGCAACAGAAACTGCTTAATGGGTACAGGATTTCCTTTTGGAGTGATGAAAATATTTTGGACCCAAATAGAGGGGATAATTGCATGATGTCCCAATCTAGTTGTTAGCGGGAAGGATGAGTTGCTCTTGGGCTGATTTGGAGTTGGATGTTAAGACTGAAATCAGGGCAAATGAGAAAGATATTTGCAGAGCTCTCTCTCTCTCCCATGGTTCTCTCTCCTTGGTTCTATTTAACATTTTTACCAATGACTCAAAGGTGGACACAACTGAAATTTGAATAATGTTAAATTTCTTCTTATTAGCTGGAAACACTGATGAAAGTGCTAAATGCACAACGTTGTAAATGCACAAAATGCCACTGAGTCATTCACTTTTAAATGGTTAATTTTAGGTTATGTGAGTTTTACCTCGATTTAAAAAAATATCTAGTTTCCACTTTCAAGACTGTGAACTTAAAACTCAAGGATTTACCTGTATTAGTTCATTTTCACCCTGTTGATAAAGACATACCCAAGACTGGGCAATTTACAAAAGAAAGTGGTTTAATTGGACTTACAGTTCAATGTGGCTGGGGAAGCCTCACAATCGTGGTGGAAGGCAAGGAGAAGCAAGTCACGCCTTACATGGATGGCAGCAGGCAAAGAGAGAATGAGGAAAATCATCAGATCTCATGAGACTTATTCACTGCCACGAGAATGGTATGGGCGAACCACCCCCTTGATTCAATTATCACCCACCAGGTCGCTTCCACAATATGTGGGAATTATGGGAGTACAATTCAAAATGAGATTTGAGTGGGGACACAGAGCCAAACCATATCATTACCTTACTCTTCCCAAAACTGCATTGAAATGACCAAAGAAACAGAAAATTAAGATCCCTGAGACAGAGAGCAATGCCTGCAGTAGACAGAAAAATCGGAGAGTATCTGGGAGGAATGAAGCCTCCTCCCTGAATGGAAGGAGGAAAAGTGGTCAGTAAGAAAAAAAAAAATGGCTCACAATTCATACAAGAAAAAGATGGTCCCATTTGAAATGTTGGCAGGAAGGTTTTCCAACAGAGCCCTGTGGAATCTCTCAACTCAAGGCAACAGGGCCCTCGAGTGAAAGGGGGTAGCATCCCAGCTGGCAAGCTGGTGTGTGTACAGGCTGCATGCAGAACATGGTGGTGGTTGTACCAACAAGTCATTGGGAGTGGTGTGATCTGGGCAAGTAGAGACAGACTTAGTTTAACAGGCTCCTGGCATGGCCAATAAGACTAGAAAGAGGTGGGCTAACTGTAGGTCATCTCAACAGGCATGATTTAAAAAAATCAAAATCCCAAACCCAC
Source organism: Homo sapiens (assembly GCF_000001405.40). NCBI lineage: Eukaryota > Metazoa > Chordata > Mammalia > Primates > Hominidae > Homo > Homo sapiens. The sequence goes on from NC_000017.11 coordinate 6,313,661, forward strand.
AGCCCAGTACCTGAAGGACTAATTCACTGAATTTCAGTGGCTGTTATAGAACCAGAGTAAGCATGAGGCAGCATAATCATCTATATTGTATTTTATTTTTTAAAAAACACTTACCTTTACCACCTGATGCATTCTTATATTTTCTATTCTGATTTAGTCTGTGTCAAAAAAAAAAAAAAAAAAGATACTGGCCATCACCCACTTACAGGGTTTAATGTAGCCTAGATCTCCATGGTAACTCCACTGCTATCTATACACAGATACCCCTAAGATCCAAGCTAAAAGAAGAGAAGGGGAGATGGAGGCAGGAAATAATCAGAAGGGGGAAGTTGCAGGTTTCAGCGATTCTTTCAGGGAACCAGGAATTCCTGGAATCCCGCAATGGAGGATTCAAGCCAAGGACGTGGGACTTTGCCACCCACCTGCTGCAGGGGAGACCGCTACTTGATCTGCTGTCAGCAGATATGTAAATAGATTTAGGCAAATCAAAAAGACAAATATGGCCAGGCGCCGTGGCTCACACCTGTAATCCCGCCGCCGAAGCAGGCGGATCACGAGGTCAGGAGTTCGAGACCAGCCTGACTAACATGGTGAAACCCTGTCTCTATTAAAAACACAAAAACTAGCCAGGTGTGGTGGCATGCACCTGTAATCCCAGCTACTCAGGAGGCTGAGGCAGGAGAATAGCTTGAACCTGGGAAGCGGAGGTTGCAGTGAGGTGAGATCACACCATTGCATTCCAGCAGGGGCAACAAAGCAAGTCTCCGTCTCAAAAAAAAAAAGAAAGAAAGAAAGAAAGAAAGACAAATACATGTGTCACAATAGGAAAAAAGGCCAAAGGCATGAGCTGGCAACTCATGAAAAATGTGAAACGCATGTGACAAGGACATGACTTATTAATTTATGAATAGTTCCCCCAACCCCCAGCTCTCTTGAGCCACTTCTGTCTGCAGGGGTGAGAAAACTGGGGAGGAAGGGAAATAGCTTTGGAGAAGTCATTTTTAGTTATTAATGAGAATTTATTTAATGTTCTTTGAGAGACACAAGTAAAGCCTGATTCCTTTTTAATTACTTTAGGCTACATGTCTGTGCTTCTCTGATTAAGCTACTCCATGCTGAGCCACGGGGACCTGGCTTTCACACAAGTTACACAGATGAAGAGATGCTGAACCTCCCTTGAGATCAAAGGAATGCAACATCACACAACAGTGTGAAGTCATTTGAACCTACCAGACTGGAGAAAATAAAAACAACAGTACCAGCAGGACAGTAAATTGTACCAACTTTCCCAGATGCAACCTGTTGCTAGTAGCAAAATTTAAATGGCACATGCTCTATGACACCGCAGTTCCATGCCTACAAATTTAGTGAAGGAAATAATTGCAAAAGTACATACGTATATTTACAAGAAGGTGAACACTGAGGGTAACCTAAATATGCCTTGCTCTCACTTATCTGCTACTCAGGGTCCCGGACACACACACAGAGCACTTAAAGTCTTCACTTGAGTTAACCTTCATGTCAACTCCATGGGATGTATGTTATTATCTCCATTTTAGAGCTGAAGAAATTAAGACTCAGGAAGTTTAAGTGACACATCCAAAGTCACTGCAGGACTGCATGACAACAACCTTGCTCTTTGGTTACAGAGTCTAACCATACCACGACCTATTAGAGAAATGCTTATGAGCATTCATTTATGCAACAAACATTCACTGAATGCCTGCTATGTGCCAGGTGCTATTCTAGATGCTGAGCAAAATGGGCCAAAGGCATGAACTGGTAATTCACAAAAAAAGTGAAGTATGTGGGGACAAGACGATGGCTTATTCATCTGTGAATATTCCCCTATTTGTAAGTCCCCTGGGTGATTAAAACAGAAAAAATCCTCGTCCTCCAGCTGCTTATAGAAACTTGATTATGCGCTGACGTGGGAAGATGGTTACAACACGGTGAGGCTGGGAAAAGCAGGTCAAATGATTGTACTCCATGTAAATATAATGTATTTATTCATTCAATTAATATTTACGGAGCAGCTACTTTTGTCAAGCACTTCTTTCACTGATCTATGAGACACTCAAAGGCCTCAAGGAACTGGTTCTGTTTCCTTACTTAGAGGTTCACCCACGGCCGGGCACTGTGGCTCATGCCTGTAATCCCATCTCTTTGGCAGCCTGAGGCAGGTGGATCACCTGAGGTCAGGAGTTCCAGACCAGCTTGGCCAACATGGCGAAACCCCGTCTCTACTAAAAATAAAAAAAAAATCCGGGGGTGGTGACAGGTGCCTGTAGTCCCAGCTACTTAGGAGGCTGAGGTGGGAGAATCACTGGAACCCGGGAGACGGAGGTTGCAGTGAGCCGAGATTTGCGCCACTGCACTCCAGCCTGGGTGACAGAGAGGGACTCCGTCTCAGAAAAAGAGAAAAAAAGAGGTCCACTCAGGGGCAGACACAGAGCCAGTGAATTGGAAAAGTTATTGAGTAAAAAAGTGAGCAAAAGAGAGTGGGAGGCACAAAAGATAGCAAGCTTTGAAACATCATTTACTTAAATTATTAATAAAATTATTACAAAAGTGACATTCTTGAAAGAAAAAACCTAAAACAATTTAGAATAGAGAGCGAAATTCCTCCCCCTCTATCCAACCTTTAGAACTAATTCTTGACCCTTTGAGTGTATAATTTTCAGACTCCCAATCACACCCTTCAAAAAAGATCTCCCTTTTTTCTCTGTTGCAGTGCACTATCCATTTGCCGTTGCCTAACCAATCACAGAATTATTTTCTTTGTCAGACTATTTGTTCATTTTCCTTATTACCTCATGAGAATATAACCTTCACACCTAAACTTAAGAACAAAGAAAGCATGTATCATGTCATATAGCTCTTATGGCTAAGTATGAAGACTGCCATAAAAAATAAATAAATAAATAAATAAATAAAAGAAAACAACAAAAAAATAAAATAAATAAATAAATTTTTTTAAAAAAGAATTTCTTTCATCTCAGGAGTAACAAAAACTATCTCTAGTTATGAATGAGAACTTATCTCTAGTTTTTGTTACTTTACTTTGTTACTAGTTTCGTTACTTTACTTTGTTACTTTGTTACTACAAAAACTAGAGACAGTTTTCTTTTCTTTTCTTTTCTTTTTTTTTTTTTTGAGACAGAGTCACGCTCTGTCGCCCAGGCTGCAGTGCAGTGGCGCAATCTCTGCTCACTGCAAGCTCCGCCTCCCGGGTTCACGCCATTCTCCCGCCTCAGCCTCCGAGTAGCTGGGACTACAGGCACCCGCCACCACGCCCGGCTAATTTTTGTATTTTTAGTAGAGATTGGGTTTCACCATGTTAGCCAGGATGGTCTCGATCTCCTGACCTCGTGATCCGCCCACCTCGGCTTCCCAAAGCTTAGCTTAGCTTTTCTTTTCTTTTCTTTTTTTCTTTTCTTTCTTTCCCTTCCTTTTCTTTCCTTTCCTTTTCTTTTCTTTCCTTTCCTTTCCTTTTCTTTTTTGTTCCGAGACTGAGTCTCATTCTATTGCCCAGGCTGGAGTGCAGCGGCTCCATCTCGGCTCACTGCAACCTCCACCTCCCCAGTTCAAGCCATTCTTGTGCCTCAACATCCCGAGTAGCTGGGATTACGGGCACCTGCCACCATGCCAAGCTAATTTTTATATTTTTAGTGGAGAAGGGGTTTCACCATGTTGGTCAGGCTGGCATTACAGGCAAGAGCCACTGCACCCGCCTCAGCCTCCCAAAGTGCTGGGATTACAGGCATGAGCCACCACACCTGGCCTGTATCCATGTCTTGCCCGCCCCACCTCACTCCCCAAGTTTTCCCCTTAAAAGCTCTAGAGCCTGAATGTCCTTGGCTTTTTGAAGCTCTGGTCCAGAAGAACCCATTTTTATAACCATCTCAAGAGTCCATGGGTTAGACATTCTATCCCTAGAATTCTAGAATTCTAGGGGTGCTCTGAGGGTCAGCAAATGGACTAATCAAAGCCCAGCTTCTTTGCCCCACAGTATCCCTGTCTGACACTGGGGCCTCTGATTCCCTGACGTGCCATAGTTGCCAATACAGATAACCGTGATTCCGTGAGACACGGGTATATGTGTTTTCTCAAGATGTGAGAGCAAAAGCAATTAAAAAGGCATTAGTTGGGCTTTTGTGTCGACTTATGTTCTTAAAACTAATTATTTGTTCATTAAGGCTCCCAGCCTTCATCAGAGGCTTTGTCGCATGGAAATAGCTGACGAGCTCAACTTGTGGGTATGAAATGAAAGGCTTAGCAGAAGCAAAATATGCTCCACAATTATGAACAGCCTCTGTCTCTGAGGTAATCAGAACCAACATTCTCCATGAGACCTGCAAAGTTTGGGGTTAAAAAGGAAGACACACAATTCATGGTTGGCTTCTCAGCTCTGCATGATGTGAAAATGAGCCAGAAGCTTTATTATCCAGACTTTTGCATGCATCTTCTTGATGTGCTTCCAGTTATAGACCTTTGACCATTCTAGAAAGGTGGGATCAAAAGTATACATTAACCACAGTTATGTATTTCCTCTCTCACCTGAGATCCTATTAAAATGAAAGTAAAAGACCCATAAAAGTTATAAACACAGATTGATAAAGACAACAAGAAGAGAGACATCAGCAGACAAGAGATATCAATAAATTAGCCAGGCGCGGTGGCTCACACCTGTAATCCCTGCACTTTGGGAGGCCGAGGCAGGTGGATCACCTGAGGTCAGGAGTTTGAGAACACCCTGGCCAACATGGTGAAACACCGTCTCTACTAAAAATACAAAAAGTTAGCCAGATGTAGTGGCGGGGCCTGTAATCCCAGCTACTCGGAAGGCTGAGGCATGAGAATCACTTGAACTTGGGAGGCATTGGTTGCAGTGAGCCAAGATCGTGCCATTGCACTCCAGGGTGGGCAACAAGAGTGAAATTCTGTCTCAGAAAAAAAGAGATATCAGTAAGTTTCTGGAAGCTAGGAAGCAGGTGGATGGGTGCCAACAGGTGAAGTAGTGTAGAGGAAGCCACACTAAGTGTAGACATGGAAATGGACGCAGTTCAGGAAGTAATCTGCCTTCCAGAACCCTGCAGTTGGGACACAGAAATTTCAGATATAAATGGAAATGATATATGAAGTTAAAATCAGGGTAATTGAGTTGATTATCTCTATATAAAATATCTTAATCCACTCTTGGACCAAAACTCCTAGCAGCTACATAGAGCTATCTGAGTAAAATATCGAAGGGTCAATCTCAAAAAAGTTGATAGTCCATGTATTAGTTATCTATTGCTGCATGACAAATGTCCCCAAACATAGTGACTTACAGCAACATATATTTATTATCTTACAATTTCTGTGGATGAGGAATTTGAGAGTAGCTTAGCTGGATGGTTCTGGCTCAAGGTTTCTCATAAGGCTGAAGTTGAGATGTCGTCCAGGGTTGAAGTTTTCCAACATGGCCATGTGCATTTGTTCATGTACTATCTATGGCTACTTTTATGCTACAATAGCAGAGCTGAGCAGTTAGAACAGAAACCACATGGCCACAAAGTCTTAACTATTTGGCTTAAGTAAAGGGCCAGATAGCAGATAGTTTAGACTTTGCAGGAATGTGGTTTCTGTTCTAACTGCTCAGCTCTGCTGTTGTAGCATGAAAGCAGCCATAGGCAATACATAAACAAACAGACTTAACTGGGGCTGGATGATCCATTTTCTAGATGGCACACTCGTAGGGCTGTTGCCTGGAGGCCTCAGCTCCTTACCACATGAACCTTTCCACAGGGTTCCTTGAGTGTCCTCATGGCATGGCAGCTGACTTCCCCCAAGGGGGACAACAAAGAAGAAATAGTTGCCTTTGATGACCAAATCTTGGAAGTCACACATAGTCACGTTGGCCATATTCTACTCAGCAGAATCAAGTCACTAAGCCCAATCCTTACTCAAGGAAAGTGGAATGAAGCTCCTTCTCCTGAAGGGGAGCATCCCCCAGAATCTGTGGACATGTTTTAAAACAACCACACTCCAGGAAAACAGACCTCCATATTCTGGTATTTAGGGGTCTTCCATCTCTAAAGCCAGCTCCTTTACCAACATTTTAGAGCAAATTCCACAATTTAACAAGGTCTCCTCATACTCATAGGCTACCGAAGCAACTCTATATTCCTTAATTTAAATGCAAATTGTCAACCAGGACACCAGATATTTTTAAAGGAAAACAACTTGCAGTAGAAAAGAGAATAACTCAACAATAATAAAGGAAAATACTGACCCCTAAGGGATTAGAGACAATTCAGGAAATATAAGACAATTAGAAAAAAACAAAAAACCTCTGGTATCTTCAGGAAGAATCCAGAAGATGTTGCATCCATTATACAATAAAATGATTCTATAAAACAGAAACAATTAGAAGACAAAAAGGAACGGTTAAAATTAAAAAATATATGGCCAAAATTTTTTACATGTGTAAAAGGATTGTTTTAAAAAGTCAAAAGCAATAGTTCAGAAAAACATAAAAACAACAACAAAAAGAGATGAAAACAATGAGAGAGAGAAGAAAAAAGATATACTGAATAAATCTGGGAGGTTCAACAGGTATTGGATACCTAAAATATATATATATTAAAGTGTATATATATATATATATATATATATATACACTTTAATATATACTTTATATATATTAAAGTGTATATATATACATTTAGAAAAGTAAGAAACTAAGAAACTTATCAAAGCTAAAGGACATGAATATCAGTGTTGGAAGTTTCACTAAGTGTTCAAGCATAGTCAATGAATAAAGAATAATATATAGACAGTTCATTGGAAAAATTTAAAATGTCAAGCATAAAAAGAATGCCCTTTGACCTTCTAAAGCAGAGAGGTTGGCAAACTAAATTCATGAACCAAATCTGGCCCACCACTTGTTTTTGTCAATAAAGTTTTATTGGAAATGGTTATGTCTGTTTGTTTATGTATTGCCTATGGCTGCTTTCATGTTACAACAGCAGAGCTGAGCAGTTAGAACAGAAACCACATGCCTGCAAAGTCTAAACTATTTGCTATCTGGCCCTTTACAGAAGAAAATTTGCTGACCTCTGTTCTGAAGATAAAACTTACAAAAAGAGAGAAAAGTTCACCCCCAAAAGAACAAAGTCAACCTGGCATCAGAAACTTTTTGTCAGCCTCATTGAACACCAGAAGGTAATGGGAAAATGCCACCAAGGTGCTGATGGAAAATAATTTTTACTCTAAAATTCTATAGTCTATATTGAATGCCAAGATAATATAAAGGCATTTTCGGACAGCAAAGACTCAGAAGCTTTACTTCCCATGTACCTTTTTAAAAAGTGACTTGAGGGTATGCTCTGGATAGACAAGGAAGTAAATCAAAAAACTAGGAAAGGACGCAAGAGAGAGTGGATTCACTAAAGCAAAGCCCTTGGATGGCAGCCATACAGTATGCCTAGAAAGCATTCAGCAGAATTAGACCAGGAAGATGGAAATATGATGAAAGGGACAATTTGAACCATGTAATTCTGGCCTTGAGAATTCAGAAAAAGTTAACGAAATGATGGAGTAATGGTGGGGGAGCAAAGACAACTGCCATTGTGGAACTTCGGGATCCATAAGGAGTCTTGTGTGCTGCTGCAGGGACTTGAGACCCCCTGAGTTATGGCCTGAAGAACGGGTCCACTTCCCAGGAGGGTTGTCCACTGACAGAGTCTGGCGTGTTCTTCCACTGGGAAAGTCTGGTGGTTGGACCACCAAGGCAACTTCCCTCACGGTTAAAGCTCATTTTTTTCACTAAAGGGGCTAGATAGATTTGGCTCATTTAGAACTCAAAACCTGCCAAGAATGATGAAGCTCAAGAGGAAGATTTCCAGTTTCCTGGCAAGTGCCAAACCCAGAGTACCCTTGCATGTGGTCTCGAGAGAAAAGGGTATGTGAATTCTGTGAGCACTGCCCACTAACTCTTGCTGGCTCCTGGGTTCTGGGTTCGGTGAAAGCAAAATCAGAGAAGGAAATTTGAAAACTTTCTCCAGAAGTCCCAGATTCTCCCATCTTCTGGGACTCATTCCTCACTCCCACCAAGAGCCTCCTCCTCCCTCTCCTGCCTTAAGCCCACTCACTCTAGAAACTCTACAATTCTTTTTTTTTTCTTTCAAGTAGTCAAATAACCTCATTAAGCTTTGTTTCAAACCTTATTTCCAGGCTTCTTCAGCTTAATTACCTACAAGTAATGAATTGTATATAAGCAAAAATGAATTGTATGTAAGCAAAAAGCTGCAGTGTCCAAGGGGCTTGGGCTTAAAAATATTAGAGATCTAGATTTTACCAGATCCATATATCAACTTTATAAAGCAGTCAAGGCCAGGCGCAGTGGCTCACTCCTGTAATCCCAGCACCTTGGGAGGCTGAGATGGGTGGATCCCCTGCAGTCAGGAGTTCGAGACCAGCCTGGCCAACATGGTAAAACCCCATCTCTATTAAAAACACAAAAAAATTAGCTGGGCGTGGTGGTGGGCACCTGTAATGTCAGCTACTTGGGAGGCTGAGGCAAGATAATTGCTTGAACCCAGGAGGTGGAGGTTGCAGTGAGCTAAGATCGCACCATTGCACTCCAGCCTGGGCGACAAGAGTGAGATTCTGTCAAAAAAAAAAAAAAAAAAAAGCAGTCCTAATGTAATATAGCAGCTCCCAGTAATTTCTGCAGGTTTTATCTTCTTCAGAAGTTGGCTTAATTCGGTTTGCCTCATTCTTGGAAGCCTCATCAAAATTCTCTGCAAGAGCTGGAACTTCATCATCATCCTCTCCAGTAGCAAATGGTGCTTTTTCATCCACAGACTGTTTGGGCAGAGCTTCAGCCCATCTTCCCAAACTAGCCAGACTGTCTGCATCTCACCGGCTTAAGATGCTGGGTAGCGTTTCCATCAGCTGCTGTGTCTCAGCATGGCCTGCAATGGTGAAAGAAGTGTTTGCTGCCAAAGATGCCTGAACTTTAGGATTGTTAAAGCGGATCACTGTTCCTTGATCTACTTTAACTTGTAAATGTATTCACCTCTTCAATACCAGATATTGTTTGCCCCTAACTTCTTCTTCTTCTTTTTTTTTGAGATGGAGTCTTGCTCTGTCACCCAGGATGGAGTGCAATGGTGCGATCTTGGCTCACTGCAGCCCTACCCTCTGCCTCCCAGGTTCAAGAAATTCTCCTGCTTCAGCCTCCCGGGTAGCTGAGATTACAGGTGCCTGCCACCATGCCTGGCTAATTTTTTGTATTTTTTTTTTTAGTAGAGACGGGGTTTCATCATGTTAGCCAAGCTGGTCCGGAACTCCTGACCTCAGGTGATCCACCCACCTCTGCCTCCCAAAGTGCTGGGATTGCAGGTGTGAGCCGCTGTGCCGGCCCCTAACTTGTTTAAGAGCTGAAGTTTTTTTAATCATCTGCTGTAGCTGTTCTGTGAACCACCTTCTTCTTTCTACAACCAATTTCTTTCCCACCAATGCACGGTTGTGCCTGAAGTTTGGCGGGTTTTTCCTAGTTCATGATTGTCTCTTTCATCTTGTCAGAGCAGAAAAGGGGCCATGCAGGGGGCAGGTTGGCACTCAGTGTTCAAGCAGAGTTAGGCAAACACACGCGGGGATGCAAGATGGCGGCTCTGCGATTCTTACTTCATTCTTTAGAACAAAATAAATCTCTTTCTATGAATTTCCAGGCGTGTACATCCTCAGGCCTATTTTTTCAAAACCAAAGAGTTTATCAATATAGCCAAAGTCTATTTATCGAGAGATTTCACAACCAGTAAAAGTGGCTTTAAGATAGTTTTTAAATATATTTTTTTTCTCTTTACCTGATTTCCATTTTCCCAGGTGAGGAACTTGAAGTCAGAGAGGTTAAGTCACTTGCTGAAGGTCACAGGGCTGGGACGGGAGCCAGAAGTGGGTCAGGATTCAAACCCAGAAATGTCTGGATCCAAAGCCAGGCTCCAGATTTTCACTTCCACCTCCCTTCTCTCCAAAGAGGAGTACCGCATCACTGGAGCTGTCCTTACCAAGAGCCAATCAAAGTCAAGGCTCCCAGTGGAACTGCCTTCATTCATAATTCCCGGTGGAGAGAATCTGATTGGCCCAGCTGAGGTCATGTGTCTTCACTTGGGACAGATCAGCTCTGGCTAGGCGGGCTGAGGCTGCAGGGCAACCACTCTGAGTCACGAGGGCCATTCCTGGGGAAGACAGGTGTGCGAGCTGGAAGGCCATCCCGAGGGGGCCTGCTACGGATGAGCAAAATGTTATTAGGCAGAATCGGTTGATTTCATACCGCTGCGTACACTAGCATCAATAGCCATGCAGAATGGTCATAATATTTTACCAAATGTGCTCCGACTCCCCACCCTGAGCAAACTCCCTCTGGCCCAAGACCAGAAAATGGAAATGCATTTCCTCTTTTCCTGTGCTCAGGCGTGGGGTGATTACTTGGCAAATAGCCCCGTCACATTTGGTCATCTGGGACATTTTTCCTGCCCAGCGGCTCCTCTTCCCAGACAGACCCAGAGACATTCCTCAAAATGTTCTGCTCAAAGAAGCATGTGACAAAACAGCTTGTCAGTTTGTCTCTTTCCTGCCGAAATGAGACCGTGATGTCAAAATTCAGTCCTTTACTCATTTAGAAATAATCTGATAATGGAGCGCTGGTTTAATTTCCCGGGGAAAATAAGATACCTCTTGCCTAGCGAAGCTCCCCATAACCCCAGGAAGAGGCATAATTATCTTCTTCAGAATCAATCCCTTGTGGATCCCCTAATTAATTGTAAACTATAGATGAGAGCTGTTCAAAAAGTAAGTTTACAAGGTTAATTACTGGTGTATTATGCGTAGCACAATTTTGCTGGGCACGTCTGATAGAGAAACTGATGATCAACTTTTCCAAGTTCCTTCTCACTGTCAAGTAGAGGAGTTGAGAGAAACAACACGAAAGTTACTTCTACCTTTGGCAGGCTAGTTATCGAGGTACACCAGCATTATCAAGGGAAATCAGCTCTGCCTATGATTGTGTGAGCCCTTGGCCCTTATACACTCCTACACATGCAAGTCCAATCACACTCCATGTGCACACATGCACGAGTGTGCATGTACACACGCACGTGCACACACACAAATGCATGCATGCACACACATTAGCAGGTGTTATGCAAAGGGCGTCAGCGTCGAAGTCCAGAGAACTGATTTTGAGTCTCAGGTCTCATGCATTGGGGATTTTCTTACTTGAAGACAGAGTCACTCAAGGACATTCTGCATCCCCCTGCATAGTTCCAGCCTCCCATTAGGATCAGGAACATTAATATGATCTGAGCTTAGATCCTTCTGCATTCCTCTTTGTGGCAAAGATATACACACATATTTGGAGATTCTGAGTCCTCAGGGCTGAACGACGCACATGATGCAGGATACTTAAGGATTGGTTTGGACTAATTGTCACATGTTATTTCTTCTTTTTGGCTCCTGCCAGGAGCCTACCAGAACATAAGGGCGCTAGACAGGATTCCAAATGAAAAACAGCCCAATCTTTCATTTCCCTCCTCTCCTGATAGAGACCCTAACAGCTTGGCGAGGAACGTGAGTTGCTATGGGGATGAGCTGTGACTAAATCAGGTGGGTACAGGCAAGGGTATTGCAACACAGGGAAGAAAGAAAAGGGAAAAGTTTGCTTCTTAGCTTGGGCTTGAAATATTACAAGACTGCTAAAGAGGAGGGACATTGCCCTCCCTGTCCCGAAATCCCTGCCTCTGCATGCCTATTCCCTATCCCTTCCCAAGAGTGGAGATGTTGGTCTGATGGGTCAGAGCCCATGTTCTGCTAGCAGGCAGGGTTGCTGCACCTTAAGAGCAGGACCTTGGCTGGACACCGTGGCTCACGCCTGTAATCCCACCACTTTGAGAGGCCGAGGTGGATGGATCACCTGAGGTCAGGAGTTCGAGATCAGCCTGACCAAACGGTGAAAACCCATCTCTACTAAAAATACAAAAATTAACTGGGTGTGGTGGCATCTGTAGTCCCAGCTACTTGGGAGGCTGAGACAGGAGAATCGCTTGAACCCAGGAGGTGGAGGTTGCAGTGAGCCAAGATTGTGCCATTGGACTTCAGCTTGGGCAACAGAGCAAGATTCCATCTCAAAAAAAAAAAAAAAAAAAGAGCAGGACCTTGGCAATACTCCCTCTTCCTCTTCCTGCCTTGGACTGGAACAAGCAGATGGCAAGCTGCAGCTCAGAGGGTGTGGAGGGAGCTGCATAGGTACGGACGGGAGTCTGAGACAAGCCAAGGAGAGAAAGCCTTTGCCTCTGCCTGTGACGATCCCCAAGGGTATCTTAGAGGGTGAGCAGCTGCCCCCGAAGAAGAGGGGAAAGGTTGTGGCAGACAGATCACGGCGTGAACCAGCGTGGGAGCATTAAAGAGAGGGCTTGTTTGGGGACTGCTGGGTTACATGCCAGCACTGGGCAGCATTGGGGAGAGAGAGGTACAAAGAGCCCCGAGTGTCAAGTGAGGACTTTGGATTTTATCCTACAGTCAATGAAGGCTTCTGAGAAGGGAAGTGACATGATTTGTCCTTTGGGAAACTGAGACTGGTGGCAAGTGTCAGGAAAGGCTGGGAAGGGGGAGAGACGAGGGCATGCTGAGACAGCAATCAGAAGCTATGGCATCATGATTCAGGAGGGAACGGTAAGGTGGAGGACAGGTCATGGCGCTGGGAACAAGAATGACTAGGAAGGTCAGGCACCGCAGGGCTCAGGACTCACTGTCTACAGCGGGGAGAGAGCCAGCGGCTGAGATGGCTCTGGGGTTTGATCACTGAGGCCTGGGTGAATGGTGGTGCATTTACAGAAAAGCACACAGAAGAATGCGTGACAGCACACACACACACGTAGACACACATGCATACACACATACACATGCACACACACATGCATGCACATGCAAACACATACATACACACATACATATGTGCACGTGCGTGACATGTAAACACATGCATACACATACACATGCACACACACATGCATGTACACACATACACATCCATAAGTGCATGTACGCACATACACATACACATGTACATACATACACACATGTGCACATGTGCATATGCACGCACACATACACACATGTATGCACACACACACACACACATATACACGCACGCACACACACACACACACACACACACCCTTCACTCCCCAGCCAGTACTTATCAGACCTCTATTCTCAGGAATTCTTTCCCTCATTCCTCCCATACATGACTTAAATAATAACATTAATGACAAATAGGGTCACACATCTTTTGTGCACAGTTATATCCAATTGAAAATTTCTCTACCTAAATAGCTCTCTGAGGCAGGCCAATAGAGGCTCAGAGAGGATGCCTCATGTCACACAGCCAAAAGCTGAGAGGGTGGAGTCTTGACTTCTGACTCCCAGCCCAGTGCGCCCCCTGCCATACTCCACTGAGGCTGGAAGGAAACCCTGAGATCGGCTTGACCAGCCCTCTCATTACCCTTGTTTATGACGGTTTGTACTGTAGTCAGGAAACTCCTGTTAATTGTTCTTTGTGCTGCCACCATCATATTTCCTTCCTCCAAAAAGGAGTGCAGGCAGGGAGATTATTTTGACATATTTCCCGAAGATGCCGTTTCTAGAGCACTTGCCTGATAAAAATGATATATTTATTTGGGACCGCCAAGAGCTTGCTGAAATGAGGAATTTATCTGCATAGCTTTTGTTATTAAAGTGATTCTTCTTGTTTATTTCCTTCTAAGCTACTGATTCCATCTATAATACATGAGTTTCAGGTAATAGAAATTTTTCATGCAAGTAAATATTTTAATAACGATGTTATGGTCTTGATTCAGTGTTACAGGCAATAGCCTGGCACAGGGAACAAGCTCGATAAGGGAAGGCTCGGGACCTGGGTTCTTGTCCCCACTCTGCATCTGTATCCGTGGGCAAAACCCTGTCCTCTATGAACCTCAGTTTCCTTCTCAGTAAAGTGGGGTAGCTGCTACATACCCTCCCTGACTCACAAGGGCCACTGTTAAGATCAGATGAGATGACAGCCCCAAAGGTTCTGGAGAGGCTGCAGGCTTTGCTATACATGGGTAGGATCAACGTGAAATACTGACCAGAGTACAGACTTAGGAGTATAACAAAGAGACTAAAAAATGCAGTGGCAGCCCAGGCGTGGGGGCTTACGCCTGTAATCCCAGCACTTTGGGAGACCAATGCAGGCAGATCACAAGGTCAGGAGATCGAGACCATCGTGGCTAACACAGTGAAACCCCGTCTCTACTAAAAATACAAAAAGTAGCCAGGTGTGGTGGCGGGTGCCTGTAGTCTCAGCCACTTGGGAGGCTGAGGCAGGGGAATTGCTTGAACCTGGGAGGCGGAGGTTGCAGTGAGCCGAGATTGTGCCACTGCACAATCTCACTCTGGGCGACAGAGTGAGACTCCGTCTCAAAAACAAAAACAGACAAACAAACAAACAAAAATGCAGTGGCTTAAATGAGATAGTGTCTGTCTTATGCAAAGATGGGTGTGGGTTGAGAAAGGGTAAATGGCCTCATTCTACAAGGTCATTCGGGGCAGGCCAGTCAGCACTGCCAGCCTCAACATGGGACTTCCATCTCTGTGTCCAGGTGGTCTCCTACCATGGATGTTTCCCAACAAGCAAGAAGGTAGCAAAAGGGAATCCCGGTCAAGTGAGTTTGTCTTTAAGGTGGAACTCACGTGGCACTTCCACTCACATCCCATTGGCTCAAATTTAGTCACATGAGTCACTTGGCTTCTCTGACCACAAAGAAGGCTGGGAAATGTAGTTTCTAGCTTGGCAGTCATGTGCCCAGCTAGCACTTGGAAGATAGAATGAATAGTAGGAGACACTTAGCAGTATGGGGAAAATGACCACTCAGGATAATGGCCACAGATACGGAAGGGCCCACAAGATCTTCAGGAAAAGCAAACAGTCAATTGGGTACAAGCAGGCCTACACTCACATGTCTGCCTCAGATATTCTATGCACATTTGTACTCATATGAGCACTCCTGCAATCAGACACCGGCTCAGGTAAGCAAAATAATAAGAGTGAAACTGAGCATACCTCCTGGCTGTCAAGGTGCTGCAGATTCAAGAGATAGATGGTGGTGGGGCCTAAGGTGAAGCAGCCAAGTTGGAGAGAGGTATGTGAGTTCAATATCTATCTTACCTTTCCAACTCTGGAAGGTTGGAACTCAACTGGCATGAGTTCAGTTTGAGGACCACAAAGAGGGGGAGATCTGAACAGGCTAGACCTGAGAGGATCACAGACTTCGGGACATACCTCAAGTCAGACATATCACCGGTGTTCACTGCTCCATCAAGCTGGTGACCATTCACCATTTCTTTTCCCCTAACGGTCTGCCTTCACCATTTTGATCCCCACCAAAGTCTGCTATCTCACACCCTTCAGCCACATGCATTGTGGCAGGACTAATGTCTGATACTCCAAACGAGGTGACTCTTGATCAGATTCAACCCTGAACCAGAATCTTTCAAATGTTCTCCAGGGTCTCTGCTCTAAACCCAGGAAGGAATGCGGCTGATGAGTGCAGCGCACATCGGAATCCTACCCCGGCCACCAGCCCCAGCTCATGGCAGGGGTTAGAAACACCCCAGGGAAGAAAGAAATGTCAAAATGTCAAAATATCAAGTTCAAAGTGATCAAATGGGAGGCAGTCCACCAGCACAACTGTCACACTAGAAGAGGGCGAGTCTCTCCCAAAGTCTGTACCTTCAACAGGAGACCATCAGAAGAGCTTCTGGAATTCACCATGCACTATTCACATATCACTCAACATACATTAACAGCTCAAGTGGATTCACATCAGCTCAATCATAATTATTTGTCAAAACCACTTTTTCCCTCATTATTTCCTGCTGAGAGTGTGAGATTATACAAATTTATGTTGTAGTTATCACAGATTCTAACAGCATCACAAAGGAAGAGAAATTAACCCCCTACTTATTAGAAAATGTTTAGCTCAACTCTCTAGGAGAAGTCAATTTACTAGGTTAAATTTTCTGAAATTGCATAAAGATGCTAGTCCAACAACCCACCATAACAGAGTGGCATTATCTGCTGTTTTACTAGAGGACCTGCTGCCAACAACCTTAATGATTTATAGTTAAAATGTATTTATCAAGAAATTGTCACGCTAGTTATAGCCTGAACCAGAGACTGGGACCCACATTCTGTTTTCTGGAAGACTTGGGTCTTGGTGAACAATAATAATAATAATACCTATGGGGTCCTTTCAGTTCTAGGCAAAGTTTGTTGTGCTCAGCCAGTTACATACAAGCATCGTTCCTCACATGGACCATGGCCATTCTTTCCTAACTGCTCTCCCACATCTACGCTGGCCCCTACCCCACCCCACCCATATTTCATGGTACACCCAGAGTGATTAGTCAAAATCACGATCTGATACTATCCTTCTCTCCCACTACAGGGCCTTTGCACAAGCTCTTTCCTCTGTCTGGAATCCTCTTTCTATCCCTCTTCACCTTCCTACTCATCCTTCAATTTAAGCCCCTTTTCATTAGGAGCAAAAACCAGTCTTTACAAGGGCCTGCAGGTACGTGTCCACTGTCTGTATCATCCTAACAGGGGTACTCTTGAGAGTGACATGAGATGCTGTTAATACTTATGCCAGAAGTATAGGTACAAATGAACCTATCCTGGGCAATCCAGGACCAGGCTCTCCTGGCCTGGCCCTCTCCACCTCTCTGGTCTCGTCGCCTACCATGTGCTCCCTTAATTGCTCCAGGATTCCTGGGCTCCTTGCTGCTCCTCAGTCATGCGAGGCCTAACACCCACCTTCAGGCCATTGTGCTGGCTATTCCCCCTGGCTTCCCCCAGAAGTCAGCCAAACAAACTCCTTCACCTCTTTCAAGTTGCTGCTTAGATGTCACCTTCTCAAGCTCACCCTGAGTGTCCTGATGATAACTTTTATCATCTGCTTCTTTGCCCAAACCCATGGATGGCAGAGCTGGGTCATAGTGACATTGTGAATGTTACCAGCTCATATCCCAGACATCTGAAACACTAGCATAGTCAACAATTACACACACTGATTCACTGGTGTGTCCTCTCTGATTATGGTGTATCCCTGGAGGGTAGCTCCAGAGACCCCAGGCAAAATGACCCAGCACAGAATTCTGGACCTGTCCTTGTAGAGCCCCAGCTCTCTACTCTCTGTCCCCACCATGCTAGGGAAACCTGGCTGACAAGCAATGCCCCCAGTCACAGACTTAACACTTCAAGTGTCTGCCTCCTAGATGACAACCTGAGCAGCTCAGCCAGGCAGCAGGAGGAGCCCAATGGCCCCATGGGGATGGAGCATCCTGTAAGTTGGAAGATGCCCTGGAGTCCTCCATGCCCAACCGCCCTGTGGTAGTATACAAAATAAGAAACCCAACTCAAACCGAAAAATCAAGGGTGGGGAAGGAATCTAATGTCTCATGTAATTGGGCATTGTAGTTTAGCTGGCCTTAGGCATGGTGGGGTCCAAGAGGTCCAATAGTGTCACAGGACACTGTTTCATTGTGTTCTCACTAAATTCCCAGGGAGGGCCTCCCCATGTGGCAATAAAGTGGCCACTGCCAGCTCTAGACCTCCATCTTCCTCACAGCTGGTCATACCAGTGGAAGGAGAGAAACTTTTGTTGCAGCAAAAATTCCAGAGAAAGCTCTCATTTGCCCAACTTGGATCACATGTCCATGGCTGAACCAATCGCTGAGACCAAGGCATGAGATACTTTGATTGGAAGGTCTGGGTCACATGCTCAGGTGGAAGAGTCACCCAAAACATATGGTTACCCAAAGCCATGTTGAACACTCAAAAAATTATATGTGTGTCCCTGACACTCATCTAATAGGAAGGGGCTGTGTTGCACAAAGGGAAGACATGAGCTCTACAGAGCTTTGAAGTAGATATCTAAGACTTGACTTTGCCACTGTCTCTAGGTGACTTCAGACAAGACGTTTTATTAATACCTCACAGAGCCTTAGATTTCTCAAATGTGATGAGAGGATGCAGTGCTCTGCTCTACCAGACCCTAGAGCATACTATGAGGATGAAATGAGGAAGGACCGTTCTCCCCTAGAGATGGCTGAGGTGTCCATCGTCGGGAGTACAAGGGAACAGGCATGTCCATGTTTCTGAACCACATCTCCAAGCTCCAGTAGGCTCTGTGCTGGAGCATGAGTTTCTTTTCCACTAAACAACTCGAAGGAAAGAACAACTTTGCTTCCCACTTATTTGGTGTTTAGATGCTGCCTCCCTCCCACCACCTCCACCTGCTAGCTGAGAGGCACCATCTCTGAGCCCAGAGGATGCAAGATCCATCACTCCTGTACAGAGTTCACACCATGCAGCTGTGACCTGAGCAACACATCCACAATTAGCTAATATGGATCATTTTTAACAGAAAACGAAGCATGAAATATGCAAACATAATGAGCCCTTCACTGAAATTCCAGTAGCTGCTACAGGGTAACCAATTTGAATAGCAGTTGCAATTCCCGGGGAGGAAACCCCCATTAATAAGAACAATGTTGAAATTGTTATGTATGGACTCTGAAACTCACTCGATAATTAATCCAGTCGATAAACATGGTATTAGTCCTCCCACACTATGCAACTTAAATGAGGCTTTTATTGAAATATTGGGTCCAGTTTCAGACTTAGCAGCTAATCTGGAGCAAGTGGGGATGTTGGCAATGGCATGAAGACCAATGCAAGAGCCAGAGTGAGTGACAGAAGACACAGCTTGTCTTGTAGGCCTAGAGAAGACCTCCATATCACCAGGCTCCCAACATAACAAAAGCCCAGTATCAAGCACTGGCTTGGATGCCCCATGCCAAGCGTGTGCCAAGCTTCCAAACAGTGCTGTTTAGAGGTCACTAATTATTGCTAATTATTGGTCTTCCCAAACCCATCTGTGTGTGATGGGTAGCAACACCATGTATGTTTTCAGAGCTCACTCAGTTTTTTATTTCCTGCCTTCCTGGAACCCCCTCTAGCTGGTAGAAGAGAGACATTGAAAGCATCAGGCTTGGGTGTTGGACCAAGGTTCAAACACAGGCTCAGCCACTTTCTTACCAGCTCTTTGCCCTGCAGTTTATGGAAGTCCTTTCCCAGTCTGTAAATAATACAAGTGCCTACCTTTTAGGGATTTTTCTGAAGAATAAATAACATAATGGGTATTAAGTACACCCATTATGTAGGTACAGCATGCCTACCTTTTAGGGATTTTCTGAAGAATAAATAACATAATGGGTGTTAGGTACTCAGCCATGTGTCTAACTGGGACACATTGCTATCCATTTCTTTCACCCAAGACTGGTTCTCAGAGGCATACAGGTAACAAGTTGCTCTGCACCAAAGTCCGTTTCTCATGCACTCTTTTATTTCTTTTTCTTTCTTTCTTTCTTTCTTTTTTTTTTTTTTTTCTGAGAGAGACTCTTGCTCTGTCACCCAGGCTGGAATGCAGCAGTGCTTTCTTGGCTCACTGCAACCTCCACCTCCTGGATTCAGGTGATTCTTCTGCCTCAGCTTCCTGAGTAGTGGGATTACAGGTGCGCTCCACCACCCACAGCTAACTTTTGTATTTTTAAGAGAGACAGGGTTTCACCATGTTGGCCAGGCTGGTCTTGAACTCCTGACCTTGTGATCTGCCCATCTCGGCCTCCCAAAATGCTGGATGGCAGGCATGAGCCACTCCTTCGCATGCACTCTACAGCATTCAGGCTGGAGTTGGCTCCTGATATCACGAGGACCTGGACTGCAGGAATTAGGAAGCCTTCTGAGATACCACACTCATTGCATGCAGGCTATACTTAAAGATCCATTTTATGAAATGTTAGCCATGAGTTGACAACTGTTGAAACTGGATGGTGGATACATAGGGGTTCATTGCACTGTTCTCTCTAGTTTCATATATGTTTCATTGGTTTGAGTTTTTTTTTTTTAAAGACCTATCTAAAGTGAGTTTATTTGGGTTTTTTAATTCCACAGCTAGGAGCAATCCTGGCAAATTCATACCTGGGCATTTCTCTTGCCACTCTGTTGAGGAGGCGTCTCGGGGTTCAGTCGCCAGGACATGCCTGGTGAAGCTTAGATCCCTATTGTGACTGGCAATAAGACAAGGCAAGTGTACTTCAGGAGACCCTACCACCTCCATTGTTTTAAGAACACTGGGGAACATAAGTAATCCGAGTAGAGATCTTAACTAAGAAACAAATTATTAACTATTAACAGATGAAATGCAATGAGATTCTAATTGATATATTTCCTAATTGTTCCTTGCCTCAGGTCATATGATGCATAACTGGTATAATTAAGAATAGAACTCAAGTTTTCTGCTTCTACACAATAGAACTCAAGTTTTCTGCTTCTACATCTGGTATTTTTTTCTGCTATATATACAGATACTTCTGTATCTCCAGTGGCTCTAACATGCAGCCATTATGCTAGCAAGCATAACAATAGCAACAAAAGCCATAGCAGGTAATATTTATTGAGGATTTCCTCTGCCGTGAACTTACTAAGCTTTTTAATGCATAATCTCATTTAATTCTATAAATACATTTTTAAAATAAAATAACTTTTGAAGAGGCTAATATTATTATCCCCATTTTACAGATGAGAAAACTGAGGCTTAAAGTCATGAAGTAACATTGAAGTAACTAATTGTATACAGCCTTGGAATGGTAAGGTTTGGCATTCCGCCTCGATCTATCCTGTATGCATCTGGAAGTGCCTGGTTGCTGCACAAGAGTCTAGAGTTTATTTAACAGCCTCTATTAGGCATTTGGGCTCTTTCCAATTTCTTCATTCTCACAAATGATGTTGCAATAGACATCCTTGTACAGGATTCGGATCTCACGTCTGTCTTTTCTGTTCAGTATAAAAGCTGCCCACGATCAGGGATTTTTGCTCATTTTGTGTACTTCTTCTGATCTTCAGTACACAGAACAGAGACTGGCATAAAGTCAAGTCAATAAATATTTGTTGAATGGATGTAAGGATGGATAGATTGGTTGATGGAAGGGAGAGAGGAAGGACAGCAGGAAGGAGGAAGAAGGAAAGAAGGAAGGGGGAAAGGAAGGAAGGAAGTGGGGAAGGAAGGAAGGAAGGGGAAGGGAAGGGGTGGATGGCTGGATGGGCAGGCGTATGGATGGGAGTGGGATTAATTCTCCAGTGTAGACACCCAGAAGTCTATAGATCTTGCCTCTGAGGACCACACTGTTAGGACAGTGATCCTCAACTTTGGCTGCATCTTAGAATCTCCTAAAGACTTTTTTTTTTTTTTTTTGAGACGGAGTCTTGCTCTGTCGTCCAGGCTGGAGTGCAGTGGCAGGATCTCGGCTCACTGCAACCTCCACTTCCCAGGTTCAAGCAATTCTCCTGCCTCAGCCTCCTGAGTAGCTGAGATTACAGGCACCCGCCACCACGCCCAGCTAATTTTTTTTGTATTTTTAGTAGAGACGGGGTTTCACCATGTTGGTCAGGCTGGTCTCGAACCCCTGACCTCATGATCCACCCGCCTCGGCCTCCCAAAGTGCTGGGATTATAGGCGTGAGCCACCGCACCCGGCCTCCTAAAGACCTTTTTAAAAATTGATGGTGATCCCCTCTGCAAATATTCAGATTTAACAGGCCTGGGATGTGACCTGCGCATTGGAATGTTTAAAAGCTCCTCAGGTGATTTCAATGAGCAGAACCGCTGGATAGGGCAAAACTCTTATCATTCACAGGAGCACGTGTTAAAAAGCCAACTATATCTTCCCATTGTAAGAAGGCAACCAGGCCATTTCACTTCTTGGCTTTAGCACTTTAGAAGAATTGAAAGCAGAAGGCCTCCTGAAGACAGCTCTTCTCCATCTTTCGTGACATCAGGGTGGTGTCCCTGAGGGGAGAGAGGCGAGTGAGCTTCCCCAACCTGGAATGGGAAGGGATTGGCAGTCTCACAGCAGTCAAGGGACCTTTAGACCCTAGATGGTCCTGTCCCACTCCCCAGACCTACAAAATCTGAATCTCTGGGTATAGAACCCAGAAAGCTGCACTTTCAATAAGCACTTCAAGTGATTCTGAGGCACCGTAAAATTGGAAGAGGACTAATCTATAAAAATAGGTGAAGCAAGATTAATTCTAATAACATGAATCAGTCCAAACCTTCATTCTGTAACTCAAATATTCAAGAAATATTACATTTCTTTATTTTCTTTAAATCTAATTAAACCATACTTTGTGACTCTACCCCATCACTGTAGCAGAGATGCCATTGTTATTCACAGTTACTTTGGACTGATTGTTACCATTTCATGTTGTGTCTTCTATTTCTTCTGGTTGTTCTTCTTGTCTGCCCACCTTACTTCTTACCTATTATTGGGTGGACTAAGTATATTTATCACATTTTCCTCTCTGATATTTAATATTTTTCCTTCTAATAGTTTTGATTTTTACAGAGAATGTCCTTAAATATTTCATATTCATACTTAAACCTATATTACCTGTCGGTATCTAGAAGTAATCAGTATCTATATCTTCTCCCTGAACAGAACAAAATTCTGAGTATTCTTTGCTTCCTTTCACCCCTCTCCGTATACCTTCCCTGTCTGTTGTCTCACAGTACATCGTCTAAGACATTAATTCCAGCTTGCTGTTATTCTTCACAATCAAATATTACTTATCTTCAAATTTTATTGTTTTTTTGCATACCACTGCATCTTGTATCCCAATGTCTTCTTCAATTCTTCTTTCATGTCTAGTCATTTTTTCAGATGGATTATGAGAGGTAAGCTTTCTGGGTCCTTGCTCAACTGAAAATATCTTTACCCTCCAGGGCATTTGAGGCAAGGTATGTAATTCTAGCTTTAAATTACCTTCCCTTAGAGCTTGGAGTACATGGCTCCTTCTATTCTTGTATTCAGTGTTGCTCATACTTGTTATTTTATATAGACTCTGTTTCTCTGTTTCTTTTTTCTCTCGTGCCCTTTCTGAAAGGTTTTATGATCTTTCTCTTTATCCTTGGCGTTGCAAGAGTTTTCTATGATCGGTCTGGCGTTTGGTGCATATTTTACTCAACATGTTTGACCCTTTGGCACCTTCCAATAACAATGACAATAACATTAATGTTAATAGCTTGCATCGAGTTTTTTCACATGGCCAGGCTATTCTGAGTGTGCTTTACTCAGGTGATACTTTCCACACCCTATGTTGGATACTATCATTATGCCCATTTTACAGAAGAGGAAACTGAGCCACAAGAAAAGCATATCTTTCTTCAGTCGGGAAATTATTTATTTTAGAATTTCCTCCATTTCTTTCTTTCTCTCTGCTAATTCCCATTTGTCAGGCATTGGAAATTGGAAGTCAATCTCAATGTTTGATGCTTTGTCCTTGGGCAGTGTGTTTTAGATTTCCTCAGCTTGATGGTTGAGCTCATTGATCCCCATATAACTGTGACTTTTCTGAGACTGAGTCCATCCACAGAGGCCTGCAACCACACCCATCACTGAGACAAGAAAGAGGCCAAACTGCCTGTCTGCTTCACCCTGGTAGTTGCCCCCTGGCTCTCTCCTTGCCCCCATCAGCCGTCTGCACACCCATAGACTCATAACTCCCATTTTTTACAGCAGTATTTGCTGTTAATTCTATTCCATTTGCTTTCTATCCTCTAAAATTTTTGTTAATAATGTCTGGTCCATCAAGGACATGCTCTTTGCTTTAAATGCTACAATAAATTGTTTATATCTTTTTATCATTTCTAGGGATTTGGATCAAAAAGATAAACAAGTGCTTAGTTCACCAACTGACCCAATCTCCTTCTGATGGATGCAAAGAGCAGAGATTCTGGTCATCTTGAGAAATGGGGATTCATTGAGGAACATGTCTAACCATGAGGTAGACAGGTATCTCTGACTTGTGCCCACGCCTTCCAGGGAAAATAGAGAGCATGGCCTGGCTGCATCTCAAAGGGCCTGGAAAGCTCTTTAAGAATGGGAAAGCAGGTTGGGCATGGTTGCTCATGCCTGTAATCCCAGCACTTTGGGAGGCCAAGGTGGGTGGATCACCTGAGGTCAGGGGTTCGAGACCACCCTGGCCAACATGATGAAACCCCGTCTCTACTAAAAATATTAAAAAATTAGCTGGATGTGGTGGCAGGCACCTGTAATCTCAGCTACTTGGGGAACTGAGGCAGGAGAATTGCCTGAACCCAGGAGGTGGAGGTTGCAGTGAGCCCAGATCATGCCTCTGCACTCCAGCCTGGGCAACAGAGTGGGACTCCGTCTCGGAAAAAAAAAGAAAAAAAAAACGGGAAAGCTGTGCAGAATTAAGACCCTCTCATGGTGTTGTACCAACCCTTCAGCTCCGGAAGCTGAGGATGGCAGCTCTGATGCTCTACCGCTAACTCTGTCTCTACTTGTCCTCCTGCTGCCATCTGATGAAGTCCTCTGTATCCTGCTGCCATCTGATGACGTCCTCTGTACCCTGACTTTAAATTTCTGAGAGGAAGACTCTGATTGGTCCAGTTAGTCATTATTATTCTTGTGGCTTCGACACCCCCTCAGCCCGACAAACCCATGGACTGACCACCTTGAGATCCAATGCCCCCACGGCTCCAATCAGTTCAAGTTTTCATGGTGGGAGCCACGTGGTCGCCATATGGAACCCCTTGAAGTGGACTGTGGTTGAGGCTGACGCTCTGAGACTCATCCTTCCCAAAGCAATGTCTAAGGATCCTCCCAGATGTAAATATCTGGGGCCTGTAAGTGTATCTGCAGGCTCACGAATAAGCCCAACTCATGTTTATACAAACTACCCATCAGGAAAGAAGAAATGCTCCTGATTCCCATTTCTGATGGTTAATTTTATGTGTCGATTCGACTGGGCAACAGGGTGCCCAGATTAAACACTGCTTCTGGGTGTGTCTGTGAGGCTGTTTCTGGATGAGATTAGCATTAGAATCAATGGACTCAGTAGATTGTCCTCCCCAGTGTGGGTGAGTATCATCCAGTCAATGAGGGCCTGAATAGAACCCAAAGGGACAGGAAGGAGGAATTCATCCCTTTTGCCATCTCCCTGCTTGCTTGAGCTGGGACATCAATCTACTCCTGCCCTTCAGCTGGGCCATTGGCTCCCCTGTTTCTTAGGCCTCTGGACTCAGACTGGAGTAACACCACAACACCACAAGCTTTCCTGGGTCTCTAGCTTGCAGAACAAAGACTGTGGAACTTCTTAGCCTCCATAATCATGTAGCCAATTCCTCACAAATATATGTGTATTTATTCATGTGTAATATATAATATTTCTGTTCATTTTTTTCTCTGGAGAACCCTAATACGCCATTAGATCCATGTTCCTCTGAGAAATCAGCATCTCTACAAACCCAGGCAGTGAGCTCCATGACGAGGATTTAGCTGATGTAAGGGAAAGTTTTGGGTTAGAAATACCAGAGTTAACACCCCCAAGAAAGAGGTTATAATGCTTCGGAAAAAATTCACAAGCGGGGTAAGTTCCTGGTTCATAATACTACACCCTTCTCTAGGAATTACCCCAGTATATGCTATTAATAGTAAGGTCCTTTTGGCTTTAAGACCGCCCCTCTCCACTCCCCACTTGACCACCGATGACTGGTTGACACAGGGTTGAGCACCTGACCCAAGCTGGGCCAATCAAAAATTTCTTTCTCCTTCTGAGAATGTGAAATTTAAAAGAATACCCTTAACTAATATAGGGCCCACCTCAGAGCAGAAACCACATGGCACAGCCTCTGCTGTAACAGACAATCTGCAAAGAAGTATCCTGATTGATTATAATTTCTGATGCAATCAATCTCTTTGATCCATGCCTTGACCACTGCCTAAGCCATGACCCTAGCTACACACTGACCTTGACTTCAGCCCTCACTGAGCCTTATTCCTGGCCAGATGTTGAACTCTGGCCCCTGCCACAGAATTAAACCCTGACGTGGTCATAGATGATTCTATGCCTTCGTCACAAACTGAACTCTGACCCCCAGCAACATACCAATCCTTGACTCTCTCTAGTCACCCTGGAACATACACTATTGTCACAAGTGGCCACGGTATGCGATGGTTTCCCTCCACACAACTGGGGGTACATCTTGTTTACCATAAGGCAGCCTGCCCGGGACCTCCACCCCATGTACTGAGCATGGCTAATCTCTGGATCTGCTGCTTTGACTCTGGGCCCAGATGTTACTGGTGGAGTTGCATCCTGGAAACATTCTCTCACTGTGGGACCCAATGCCCAGAACGACGGCCACAATCTGTTCTTTGACCTAAAGGAATCTGGCATGAGCAGACATAGCTCAGACTCACACAACCTCTCTGCAAGAAAACCTAAGCAAACGCCAGTGGTTGGAATCATCTAAAGAAAGACCTGATGATTATCCAGTCAACTGGAAGGTCCTCAGAGTCAGCCTCAACAGCTCTCTCTTCTTTGTACCAACACCTGCTTGTTTTCAAGATCTGTCCATTCTACATCCCAAATGCTTCCCCTGTGAATTCCTTCTCTCCATCTTCACCCAATTCTTCCTTGGTACAAGCTGGCACCCACAGCCTCCTTACTAACTGGAATTCCTACTTCCAGTCTCACCTTCTCCTCCCTGACCCTCACCCCAATCCGTCACCAAGTGTACTTGCAAAAAATCAAATACATGCTCATTAATGCCCTTCTGCTCACAACTTGTCTGTGGCTTCCCACTGCCCTCCAGGTAGATTCCAGCTTCCTGGGCATGGCATTCCAGGCCCTTCACGATCGGGTCTAAAGCGTGAATCTAAGGAAGAAGAGAGCTTATTTCTCATGCAGACCATTTGTCCCCAAGTGCTTGTGGGCCTCCACTCAAACCCTTCTGTGGAGGAGATGATGGCTTTATAGTTAGAATCTGTCATTTCCTAAAGTGGAGAGTGGTGGTGCGGGGTTGGGGGGGGGTGGTTATAATTATACGTACATTGCAAATTAAAGCTGTTATTAATCAAAGCATCCCTAAAAATATCAAAGACGTAATGTGACGTCTCAGAGCTCTTGTCCCGCTGGCTCCAGTGCAGATCCAAAAGGAAGCTGACCTTTTCCACAGCCGGATTATAAATGTCAGGATTGCATGGTACCATCCTTCAATTACTGTCACCTTGAAAGGGGAGAGCGCTGGAGGCCTCACACTTAAGTGTTTTCAATCACAGATATATTTCAAACACTGTCTCCTTGAGAGAGGAGCACTGGGCTCTGGAAGCTGGTACAGCCCCCACTGTGGCTTCTGTGTCACGTGCAGTGACCCAGAAAGTTAGTAACTTAAAAGACAATTTGGAGTTGATCAGAACTGCCCATTTAATCCCCTCCTGTTCCAACAAACTAAAGATTTAATTATTCTTCAATTGCTATTTGCAGAAGCACCACAGGACAAAGATGCCTCCATGAGGTATCTCCTAAATACAGATCACCGTAGATTGCTTTCCCCTTTACAAAATCACGTTTTTATTGTGCAGCTTTAAGCAAGATAAAAACTTTCCTTCTGGTCATATTTCTATTCTTCATTCAAAGTCTCCATGCAACAAGAAGGCAGAGAGGGTTGAGTCCAATAAGCAGGAAAAACCAATTCAATTTCCAGGCGGATCTGATGCTATGATATTTATAGAACACACATATCACATTAGCATCTTGCCATGCTATAATATAATTTCTTCATCTGTCTCCTGTAACCTATATTTACAGTAGGGATATTTTCCCTTCTGCACTTAACAAGGCATATTATTGAATTTTAGTTATTATAAAACATGGCCAATCAATATAATTCTCTGTTCCTCTTTTTTTTTTTTTTTTTTTTTTGAGATGGAGTCTCACTCTGTCACCCAGGCTGGAGTGCAGTGGCGCGATCTCTGCTCACTGCAAGCACCACCTCCTGGGTTCACGCCATTCTCCTGCCTCAGCCTCCCGAGTAGCTGGGACTACAGGCGCCTGCCACCATGCCCGGCTAATTTTTTGTATTTTTGGTAGAGATGGGGTTTCACCTTGTTAGACAGGATGGTCTCAATCTTCTGACCTCGTGATCCACCCACCTCGGCCTCCCAAAGTGCTGGGACTACAGGCGTGAGCCACGGCACCTGGCCTGTTCCTCTTTTTAACAGAACATCCTGGGTCTAATTTGAACTGGGAAGTCTGGCCCCATCACAAAGAGGAGAGTTGTAAATTCAACAGGCCTCACCAGGGAGCTTTGCTTCACTGTGGCCATCCTTCACAGCCAAATACATTCTGCTTCCAAGTTCGATGGTGCCAGAACTCCGGGTGGTCATCACGGTGGTCAGAGCCAGTGGACAGCCTGACCCATGAGCTCCACCAGCTGGTGGTTGGCCTATATCCTGGCCCATTTCACTCAGACACATGGCAGAACTTGTCCCTGCCTTGGGATCCCAGTGACTCAGATTCTTCACCCCCAGCCCCAGAAAGCAGGAAACAAGCATAGCTGGGAGGAGGATGTTTCATAGGGCAGACGTCGTTGATCTTAAACCCATTCTCCAAAAGCCTTTCCCATGCTTCAAAGGTTGATGTGGTGATTGTTTAGAGTGCAGTGAAAAGACTTTAGAGGAAACAGCCCAGAACCAGACTGTGAACCATGCCCAGTCCCTCCTCACGTCCACACTACACACAAATCCTGTTGGTTACGCCTTGAAAATGTACTGCTACATGCCCAATGGATGGGTTCAGTCTCTTCGTGGGTGCCAGCCCAATAACCACAACAAAGAAGGACTTAACAAGGGGATTTTATTACTTGCAGCAAGTAAGGGGACCACAGGGGATAATTCCTAAAACAGTGCCTCCTAAACAGAGGGCTGGGTCAGGTTTTATAGGCATGAAGTAATGAGGCATGATCTGATTGGATCTTGCAATGAAGTGATGCTGGGAGGCATGATCTGATTGGATCCTTCCATGAGATGATGCTAGGGATTGACCTGATTGGATCCTGGGTCCTGCCATGTCCACTTCTTAATTCAGTCCCCCGATCGTCAGTCCAAGCCCTTAGGTTCCCCCTCTGGCTGCACACTTGGTTCATCTGGGCATGCTCAGGTTATGTGACCTTCAACCTGAGGGTCACGGCAACTGAAAAACAATTCATAACTTTGTTTCTTACAAGTTGAACCAAGCTGGGCTCAGTGGCTTACGCCTGTACTCCTAGCACTGTGGGAGGCTGAGGCGGGAAGATTGCCTAAGCTCGGAGTTCGAGACCAGGCTGGGCAGCACGGTGAAACCCCATCTCTGCTAAAATACAAAAAATTAGCCGGGCATGGCAGTGTGTGCCTGTAATCTCAGCTACTTGAGAGGCTGAAGCAGGAGAATCGTTTGAACCTGGGAGGCAGAGGTTGCAGTGAACCAAGATCATGCCATTGCACTCCAGCCTGGGCAATAGAGCAACACTCCATCTCAAAAAAAAAAAAGTTGAACCAGATTGGAACCAGATTGGTCTGATAAGGTTACAGTATCAAGAATCCAAACATGTCTGAACACCTCCATGACTACACCCTGGTCCAAGTCATATCTCCCCTGGCCCTTTGCTGAGACCTTGTGACTGCCTCTCAGCCTTGGCTCTCACCTGCCCACACTCTATCCTCAACAGAGCAGCTAGACTGAGTCTTTTAAAACAGAAGTCCAGGCCAGGCGTGGTGGCTCACTCCTGTAATCCCAGCACTTTGGGAGGCCGAGGTGGGCAGATCACCTGAGGTTGCAAGTTCGAGACCAGCCTGAGAAACTCCGTCTCTACTAAACATGGAGAAACTCCATCTCTACTAAAAATACAAAATTAGCCAGGCGTGGTGGTGCATGCCTGTAATCCCAGCTACTTGGGAGGTCGAGGCAGGAGAATCGCTTGAACCTCGTAGGCAGAGGTTGCAGTGAGCCGAGATCGCGCCATTGCACTCCAGCCTGGGCAACAAGAATGAAACTCTGTCTCAAAAAAACAAAACAAAACAAAAAAAAAACACAGAAGTCTGATCCTTTCATTCTTACATGCTTCTGCTTCAAAGCCCTTCAGCGGGCTCCCCATCTCTCTCAGAAGAGAAGTCTCCCATGAGACCTACAAGGCCCAATGGCCTCCAGCTTCATCCCTCTCCCTCTCTCCATTTCAGCCCAGCTGGCCTCTGCTGTTCCTTGACTGAACAGCATGCCTGGCCCCAGGGTCTCCACTGGTGCGATTCCCTCTGCCTGGACTGGTCTCCCAGGACCCACGAGACCTGTTCCCTGGCCATTTCAGGCCTTCTCTGACAATCCACTTAAAATAACAGCTGCCCCACCCCAGCATCCCCACCCTGTTTGATTTTTCTTCAAACTATTTATCACCATCCAATATGCTAAATATGGTCCTTCTCCTCCCACTAGAATGTATACTCAACTAGGGTAGGGATTACTTTCAACTTTCTTGGCTTAATGTTTATTTCATTTCTATTTTCATGTTTTCTAACATTTTATCACTAATTTTTTCAAACATAAGGAAAACTCAAACAATTGTACAATGAACACTCACATACCCACCTCCCAGGTGCTACAATTGTTAACATTTTGCAACATTTGCTCTTTCCCATATCTAACCATCTATCCAACCCTCTATCCATCCATTAACCCATTTTGGTTTTTTTGTTTGTTTGTTTTTTGTTGTGTTGTGTTGTTTTTGTTTTTTGAGACAGAGTCTTGCTCTGTCTCCCAGGCTGGAACGCAATGGCACGATCTTGGCTCATTGCAACCTCCACCTCCCAGGTTCAAGTGATTCTCCTGCCTCATCCTCCTGAGTAGTTGGGATTACAGGCACCTGCCACCATCCTCGGCTAAATTCTTTTGTATTTTTAGTAGAGACAGGGTTTCACCACGTTGACCAGGCTGGTCTCGAACTCCTGACTTCACGATCTGCCCGCCTCAGCTTCCCAAAGTGCTGGGATTACAGACGTGATTAGCGGGCCTGGCCAACCCACCTTGTTTTTGCCGGCACTCCGAGTAAGCTGTAGACATCCCTATGCTTCACCACTAAATCTTTCGGCATGTGCGTCATCTACTAAAGTTCGAGATCGGTATAAAACTCCTTTGTATTTTTGGAGACAAAATTTACGTCAAGTGAAATGCACAAATCTTCAGTGTGCCACTCAAGAAGCTTTGACAGATGTCAAATGTTACTCGTGTAACCCAAGCCTTTACCAAGATACAGAAAATTACCTTCACCCGG
This sequence comes from Homo sapiens, assembly GCF_000001405.40. NCBI lineage: Eukaryota > Metazoa > Chordata > Mammalia > Primates > Hominidae > Homo > Homo sapiens. The sequence continues at coordinate 6,344,979 of NC_000017.11, forward strand.
AAAATTCCTTCATGCCCCTTCTTTGTTTATCTCCAGAGAACAGAGACCTTTATCTGCTTTGTTCACTGGCTGTGTTCCCCGGCACTCAGAAGGGTGTTCGGCACATAACAGATATTCAAAAACTATTTGTAGGATAAATCAATCAATGATCCTATGTAGGGGTCAGATTCAAGGGAATTGAGTTTTTAGTCTCTAAGATCAGCTCTTGGGCTAAAACCTGGTTTCATGGGAGCATAAATAAAATTCCTGAGCGCCTAGCCAGGTCTGAGGGTACAAATGAAACTGCAGTTCTGGACCATACAGCTAGGATGGGGTAAATGCATTCCAAGGAACCCCTCCCATCTTTGAACATATGCCCAGCAGCAGTCCAGCCTCCTGAAGCCAAAGACCATTACACACTGCTTGGATGCAGCCCGATCAACAGACACGGCAGAGCCAAGAAGGGGTCTCAGGAGGGGGTTTAGCCACTCCCCGCAAGGACCAGCAGCCCCCAACTCTGCCACAAATAAAAGCAAGAATGATATTCATATTTTTTGAGATGGACAATTGATATTTTCTCAATCTTAGGCAAAGTCTGAATAAAAGCACTTTTTTTTTTTTTTTGAGACAGAGCTTTGCTCTTGTCACCCAGGCTGGAGTCCAACGGCACAATCTCAGCTCACTGCAACCTCTGCCTCCTGGGTTCAAGCAATTCTCCTGCCTCAGCCTCCCAAGTAGCTGGGATTATAGGCACCCACCATCACGCCCGGCTAATTTTTGTATTTTTAATGGAGACAGGATTTCACCATGTTGACCAGCCTGGTCTTGAACTCCTGACCTCAGGTGATCCATCTGCCTCAGTCTCCCAAAGTGCTGGGTTTACATACGTAAGCCACCGCGCCCGACCAATAAAAGCATACTTAGGAAAATGTTTTTATTCACCTCAATGATATAATAAGTTTTTTTTAAAGTGTATTTGCTCTGCCATAAAGCTTTAAGAGGAGTCCCAGCACCACTTCCCTCCGGATTGCTACACCTAAATTCTCCTCATATAGAAAGTCAAGAGGCAACAAAGAAAGCAGTGGACAGAACATGGTTAAATAGCAAATATTTCCCCTACACACACACACACACATACACACACACACACACACACACACACACACACACACACACACAGCTGCTCCAGAAGAGACTGTTTACTGTGCTAAGTAGGAAGAGGCAGCATCCACATTTCTGTGGATTCAGTGAGAAAGCTGGAGAGGGAAACTTTCAATCACTGCTAAAATCCAGGTCATGGAAATACAGACCCAGAACAGAAATGCACAGGGCAAGACAGCAGAGACAGCTACAGTGCCAGGAAAGCAAAGAGAGGTTGTTCCAGGGCAAGATGAGTGACAGGGACTATGTGGAGGGGAGGGCTTGGAAGGCAGAGGGACGTAGCTGGCGGCTGCCTGCCCAAAACAAAAACAGTGAGCCATGGAATATGCAGGCTCTCTGCTTGGTGCCTAAGCTGGAAGCCATCACCCACATACAAAGAATTTCAGTTTGATTCAACTCAGCACACATTTACTGGACATTCGCTCTGTGCCAGGTGCTGGCAGCAGCCCATCAAGATACATGTGGCTGTCTCCAGTCTCAGACAGCTCCTGGTGAAGGTGGAGAGACAGAGAACATAGGCAACAGTACGGTGTGGCCAGGCTCTGATGCACGCAGTGCCCAAGCTGCCGCAGTGCCTGTTGCCAACTGGTCTTCCTAGCACAGCCTGGGGCAGGACACCAGGAGGAGGATGCCTGAGATAGACCCAAACAGCTCTCTTTCTCAGGAATTAGTCCCCCTAATTCCTGATTCTTGCTGGATCCGCAATTGACAGCATACCTCGTGGAATATTACCTGTAGTTGAGTATGCAGATGAGTATGGTAACTGTAAACTGTTTCATGTTATGGATTCAAGGCTTAGGTCAATCTCAGTTAACTCTTTGGCCAAAGGCGACCTCCAGGTCAATGTCAGACAGGATAGGCCCATTAGACAATAGCAATCTAGGGCTGGAACTGCAAGCGAGCAGCATGTATCAGAATTTCTAGGGGATAGGACATGGAGTTGGAGGTGCAGATGGAGATTGTCATGGATGTTCTCCAAGCACCAGCCCCCTGCAAGAAAACCCTGCTTCTGGGGGACTTCTCCAGGAGCTGAGGGCCAGTGGAGTACAAAGTTCTGCATGCACTCCTCAAGTGGACTAGAGAAAGCCTGTCATGGGGGCAGTCACTCTGTGCCCCTTCCCTCCATTCCCGCTGCCACCTTCTTGGTCCAAGACATTGTCTTCTCTCTCTTAGACAGTTGCCATCATCTTCTAAGTCTTCTTTTTCAGTCCTGCTCCCATGTTCCCTCCAGAGGGATGGAATCAACTTGCTGATCAGATGGGGTTTGGAGCCATCCCTGTAAAGAAACCTGAAGACATTCCCAATTCCTCTGCCTGGCTTTCCATGTCTTCCATGTCCAGCTTCATCTCCCACTGTGCCCTTCCATACCCTGGCCTCTCTTTCCCGGGCCACCAGCCCTCATCTTCTCAGAATTTCTTGCAGTCTCCCCGCAGAGACCACCTCCTTGTAGAAGGCTGCCAAGATTCTACCACTACCCTAGCTGGGGATACCCTCCCTCCCTCTCATACAGCACATTCATGTTTTTATCTTGTGCTACAATGATCTGTACTCCTGATTTATCTTCCTCATTGAATTCCTTGATATCGTTTCCCACCCAGAACCTCATACAGGGACTCAGCAAATGTTTTTTGATTCAATAAACTCTGTTTTTCAGCTTTGATGCTACTGGTGTAACTACTCTCTTAGGATTTACCTTCCCTGAGGGGCAGCCTGGTCTAAAAGTCACTCCATTGTGCACTGGATGAAGGGCCCAGGAGGTGAGTGAGAACATCAAAGTGGGAGTGGGGCCAGGCAGGTGCCACTCTTGGCAGCTTGCTCTCCCCAGCTCTCCTAAAGCCAGGGTCAGAGCATGAGCCCCGGATGGGAGGGGCATCATCCTGGACCTGATCAGGCCTAGAAGAGCTTGCGTTCTCAACCGAGGCTGGTCTTTACCAAGATCATCCCCAACGACCTGCCCTCCCCAGCCATCTTTCCTCCCATATGCTACACCCTACATGTCTTGCAAAGCTGATGTCCCCTGTGGCTCCTTGACTGTTCATGTCTCTCTGACCTCTCCTTTCTCAGACCATGGGTATGTGAGCAGCTAGGATCAAGGGGCATGAGATTTAGTCCTGACGACATGATCATTCCATGTGTGAATCTGGTTTGCCCCTTTAGTCCGATAATGCCAGGATGTGCCTCTTTCACAGTAGCCTTTATGCTCTCCTGAGTACTTGGGGTATACATGCACCTGTGTGTGTGTGTGTGTGTGTGTGTGTGTGTGTGTGTTAAAAAATACTGCTCCAGGATTTCAAGGACCACATTTGGTTCCATTGTTTTCTTTAATTGTGGCAAGCTAAGAAGAAAAGAACTGCAATGCGCATGCTCTGTAGATGGACATGCTTCCCATGGTCATTACACCAGAGGAGAGTCGGGCACAGCTCCTCCCCCTGCCAGGCTCCCAAGATCCATGCTCCAATGTCAACCCTATGCTCACAGGGAGAGCCTTGATTTAAGTTTGGTAAAACGATATCCCATTAAATTTATGTTGTTAATTTGAATTTTATTGATTTCGTTGTTTGCCGTTCTATAATTTGTCCATTTGTTTTGCTTTTATGGTCATAGGAGAGCCATCAGCAGAAAGATTTTACTCCAGCTTGCATGTTGGTACATATTTAAATAGCATTATAATAGAAATTAGTTGTGTCAACAAAGAGGGAGAAGTTCTTTGAAAGTATTTTCATTTCAAAAGAAGAGCCAAGCATTGCTAGGATTTGAGAAATATTTTATTTAATGTTGTATTTCCCACGAGAGGATCATGAGCGCTCAACTCTTCCCAACCCCAGCTGACTCCTCCATGAGAAATCTGTCAGTGGTTTTCCCAGAAGGCTGCCCCCGTGTGAAATTCAAAGATATGTAGTGTGTTAAGGCCAGGGTGTTGCTCTCCGAATGCCTCCACCAGGAAGAATCTGGGACCCAGCTTCTGCCCAGTTACAAATGAATGGGACAAAGTCATGTTCACTGGAAACTTGCCTGAGAAACCATCTGAGGACGTCATTGTGCGTCCATCGTTCCGAGAAAACATGAGCTGTGAAAGACCACAGGACAGATGCAGAGGACTCCCCTAAATTATCTACCCCAGGGAGTGCTGGCATTTCTCTCTATCCCTGATGCCAGCAAATGCAGCCACGCCCAAGAGATTTTTTCTTTCTTTGTCCCCTACGAGAAGAAGATATGGAGACTATGTGGTTATTAAAGCTCTTAGCAGAGCACCAAGTTCCTGGGCAAATACCACACAGCCATTTATCTTTCACTTTGCTGAATTTTCTATTTTAATTGGTGTATGGAGTGGAGCGTAAAGACGGTGGGAAAATCTCAGCAAATGCATCAGTGAGGCCGTTATAAACATGGCTGCATAAACATAACCTGCAAGCCTGGGAAAGTCAGGGAATATTTAATCAACCATAGAGTGTGCCCAAGAACTGATCTCCCATACCTCCCTCTGCAGCCTCATCTCTTACTTCTTTTTTCTTTTTTTGAGATGGAGTCTTGCTCTGTCACCCAGGCTGCAGCACAGTGGCACGGCTCACTGCAACCTCTGCCTCCTGGGTTCAAGCGATTCTCCTGCCTCAGCCTCCTGGGTAGCTGGGACTACAGGCGCATGCCATCATGCCTGGCTAAATTTTGTGTTTTTAGTAGAAACGGGATTTCGCCATGTTGGCCAGGTTGGTCTCGAACTCATGACCTCAGCTGATCCACCTGCCTCAGCCTCCCAAAGTGCTGGAATTACAGGCGTGGGCCACCGCCCCCAGTCACTTTTGTTGTTGTTGTTTGTTTTTGTTTTTGTTTCTGTTTTTTTGTTTTTTGAGACGGAGTCTCACTCTGTCACCCAGGCTGGAGTTCAGTGGCGTGATCTCGGTTCATTGCAACCTCCGTCTCCCGTATTCAAGCTATTCTTCTGCCTCAGCCTCCAAAGTAGCTTGGACTACAGGCATGCACCACCACACCTGGCTAATTTTTTGTATTTTTAGTAGAGACAGTGTTTCACCATGTTGATAAGGCTGGTCTTGAACTCCCGACCCCAGCTAATCCATCTGCCTCAGCCTCCCAAAATGCTAGGATTACAGGCATGAGCCACCAAGCATGACCTCATCTTTTTTTTATTTGTTTTTTGAGACAGAGTCTTGCTCTGTCACCCAGGCTGGAGTGCAGTGGCACGATCTTGGCTCACTGCAGCCTCTGCCTCCCGGGTTCCAGCGATTCTCCTGCCTCAGCCTCCTGGGTAGCTAGAACTATAGGCGCCTGCCACCATGCCCGTCTAATTTTTGTATTTTTAGTAGAGATGGGCTTTCACCATGTTGGCCAAGATGGTTTTGAACGCCCAACCTGAGCCGATCCACCTGCCTCGGCCTCCCAAAGTGCTGAGATTACAGGTGTGGGCCACCGCCTTTTGAGACAGAGTCTCACTCTGTTGCCCAGGCTGGAGCACAGAGGCGTGGTTCACTGCAACCTCTGCTTCCTGGGTTCAAGCGATTCTCCTGCCTCTGCCTCCCAAGTAGCTGGGAATACAGCTGCATGCCACCATGCCTAGCTAACTTTTTGTATTTTTAGTAGAGACGGGGTTTCAGCATGTTGGCTAGGCTGGTCTCGAACTCCCAACCTCAGCTGATCCACCCATCTTGGCCTCCCAAAGTGCTGGGATTACAGGTGTGAGCCACCATGCCTGACCTCATCTCTTACTTCTTTCACCTCTCCTGCTACATCCCAGCTCCAGCCTCTCGCTCGCTGTGGGACCTTTGCACTGCTGTCCCTGCTGGTTAGAATTTTCTTTACCCTCTCTGTACTGGCTGAAACTTGCTTGTTTTTTAGCCCTCAGCTGAGATGTTACTTCCTCCAGAATCTTCCCCTACCCACACCAAGACTAGAATTAGTGCCCCTCTCCTGTGCCCTGCAGGACCTTGTGTGTGCCCCCTTTGGTAGCCATCACACGATGGTGCCATGTGGCTATCTCCCCACTAGACTGCAAGCTCCTCAGGGGCAGGGCCTTGGAGCCCTTTAGGTTCCACATTGCAGCACGATGTCCACTATATGCAGGTACTCGGGAAGGATTTTTGAATGGGTGGATGGGCCAGGCACGATGGCCCACTCCTGTAATCCCAGCACTTTGGGAGGCTGAGGCGGGCAGATCACGAGGTCAGGAGATCGAGACCATCCTGGCTAACATGGTGAAACCTCGTCTCTACTAAAAATACAAAAAATTATCCAGGCGTGGTGGCAGGCACCTGTAGTCCCAGCTACTTGGGGGGCTGAGGCAGGAGAATGGCGTGAACCCGGGAGGCACAGCTTGCAGTGAGCCGAGATCACACCACTGCACTCCAGCCTGGTCGACAGAGCAAGACTCCATATCAAAAAAAAAAAAAAGAATGGGTGGATGGATAAAGTTTCAGAGGAAACGCTTATGACTAGACAAAGAGGATAGCAGTGACCCTGTGGTGCCAGACATCCCCTTTCTCCCCTGCCTCTTTCATTCCCAGATCCACAACTGCTGGGCACCCTTAGCTTGCTGCCATGGGTTCTGATCTTCATTCCCTAAGCAAGAAGCACTAAAGTAGATAGAGATCCAGGTATCTAAGCTGTCAGGCCTCCTGACATACACCCCATATCCCCCCAGTTGGCCTAATCCAGTATCCAGAGGAAATTGCTAAGCCCCCATCTCTGCAACACAGGACTCTCAATAGGTTTGAATGGCAGATGATGAAGAATAGTACTTGGGACCCAAGTTGCTAAGGGCCATCAAGTTTATACGGGTGGCCTTTTTGGTTCTTTCTCTGATCACTGGCCATTTGTACCCCAACTATTTTTTTAGAGATAGAGTCTCAATCTGTCACTCAGGCTGGAGTGCAGTGGCCTGATCATAGTTCACTCCAGCCTCAAACTTCCGGGTTCAAGAGATCCTCCCACCTCACCCTCCCAAGTAGCTCCCGGGGTCTCACTATGTTGCCCAGGCTGGTCTCAAACTCCTGGCCTCAAGCATTCCCTCCACCTCAGCCTCCCAAAGTGCTGGGATTATAGGCATGAGCCACCATGTCTGGCCATGCACCCCAATTTCTCATAAAAATGGGGCCTCAACATGGTTTTGCCTGACCCAGCTCTGTCAGAAGCCAGCCTGGAGAACCTGCTGCCAGGGCAGACTTGTAGGCGACTGCCAGGATGACCAAGTTTTGCTGTCTCCAGATTCCTCACCTGCCCCAGTTCATGCATCTTGAAATCACTCCCTGGTAAGATAACAAATTCCCCCACCCTTCTGCTCTGTGGCCTTATCAGGCTATCTGAACCCCAAAGATCAATCCTTAAGGCTACTAGTCAGCAAAACCCACTCTGTCCATGGGGCAGGTGGAGGCCGGGTCAGGGCCTCTACTGTCTAGTCTCTTTTCCCTGTTGTTTTTCTGTGTGAGCACAACCTGGCAACTTAGAACTTAGAAACTCTGTTTCTAAGTTAGAAACAGAAACCTTAGAAACCTTAGAAACTCTGTTTCTAATCTACAACAGTGTAGAAAACCTCCAATTCAAGCCATAAAAGTTAGTTTCTCTGCCTCTAACATTCTACTAGAAAATGAACCATAATTTGAAACATACAGTAAAAAGTAATCTTTCCTTTTTAACACCCAAGCTCCTTCATTTTCAAAGAAAGCCAACGGCTGTTGGATTGGATTTTGTTTTTTACCAGTTATACATTTTGCCTCGAAAGCTGCCCAGAGTACAAAAAAGAAGTGAGGGTGTTCACACTTTGAAGATGAATCATCTCCAAAGCTGGCATCAGAACCCCCCATGTTCATCACCCCAGTCTTGAGACAAACTCTGTAGTCATTAATGAGAGTGCATAAGACAGGCTGGAGTTATGACTAGCATTTATTCGCTGCAGTAAAGAATGTCCTCTATTAATGACAACAGCTGTCGGTTTAATAACCCCAGAAAAGATCATTAAATTCCTTCACATTTCCCAGAAACAGATGGAAGAATTGCAAAAAGGTTCAAGCATATGGGGAAACATATTGGATCCAGCAGCTCCAAAGAATAGCCAGAAAACTGATACTCTAATGGGCTGCTGCACACGGTATTGCCTGTGGGTGCCCAATGGGAGCAGGTGTGCTCCCTGCCTTGTGGGGAATGTGGAAACATGGTGAGGAGTAGTGTCAAGACAGGTGACCCCTGAGTGTGCTAGGATGGACTGGAAAGACAGCTGCCTGAGTTAGTGGGTTGTGAAGGCTAAGAAGGTGACTAACGTCAGCAGCCATTGGCTGCAAACCTACTTTGCTGCCTTGGTGATTGTTAATGGCACCATCCCTTGGCAGAATAAACACACTCACTTTTCCATGCACGCTCTTTCTGGTCACTGCACACTTACTCCAATGCATACAGACATACCCAGGTCATCAACAGATAGCCCAATGCCCTTGCAGACAAACTCCTGAAACTTGCATCAGTGAATTTATTCTGCTGAAGAAACCTCCCATAGTCAGAGCCCATCAGCTTGATCTTCAGTTCAGAGTCAGCAGTACCTGTCTACTTTTCATGCATCCAGGTGAAGGAAAGCATTTCATGACCTCTGAGTCAGGTGCTCAGATGATTCTGTGCACTTAGAGAGAGGCAGAAGTAACAATGGAGGAAATATAGAGTTATCAAAAAATTATCTAAAAAAGAAAAAGGTTACAGGGCCTGATGGTTTTACTGGTAACTTCTTTCAGGCTTTCCAGGAAGCATTAATTCCCATTCCAAATAAACTGTTCTTATGTATAGACAAATACAGAAAGCTAAGCTCTTCATTCTATCGAGGAAGGATGGTCTTGATAACACTTATATACCATAAAAAGAAAACTAAAAACCGAGTTCACTTTAAAATGCAGACATAAATTCCTGCATAAATAGTGGCAAGACAAATTTAAAATCATATGAATACATAAGTTGGTATTCTTTGAGGTTTGTCTGAAAGGTTTAATGTTATAAAATTAATATTGAATACATATGTAATGTTTAGATGGAAATATTAAATATTGAAAAGATTTATATTGTACTTTTTCAAATTAATTTATTTGTGTTATGAGTTAAATTGTGGCTTTCCAAAAAGAGATATGGTGAAGTTATTACCACCAGTACCTCAGAATGTGACCTTATTTGGAAATAGGGACTGTTTTGTTGTTGTTGTTGTTTTTTGTTTGTTTGTTTTTGTTTTGAGACGGAGTCTCACTCTATCACCTAGGCTGGAGTGCAGTGCCACAGTCTTGGCTCACTCCAACCTCCACCTCCCAGGTTCAAGCAATTCTCCTGCCTCAACCTCCTGAATAACTGGGACTACAGGCGCCCGCCACCACACCTGGATAATTTTGTATTTTTAGTAGAGATGGGGTTTCACCATGTTGGCCAGGCTGGTCTCGAACTCCTGACCTCAGGTGATCTGCCCGCCTCAGCCTCCCAAAGTGCTAGGATTACAGGCATAAGCCACTGCTCCCGGCCAAGAATGGTTTTTATATTTTATATTTGTGTGTAAACAAAAGAAAAGAAACAAGAAGGAAGAGGGAATGGAGAACAAGGAGGAGGCAGAGGAGAGAAAAAAGATAGAGATTATTTGTTGCTCAGAAAGCAACATACTTACTACTTGACTGGTCACGAAACAATTTTGCTGACCCCTGGTTTCAAACAACCCTGATAAAAATCCTTGTAGATAAACGTCAGTTGATCTGGAAGAAGACACAGGTGAAATTCTTAACTAAGAAAACTTTGGGGAAAAAAAATAGTTCTCACTCATAAGTGAGAGTTGAACAATGAGAACACATGGACACAGGGAGGGGAACATCACACTCCGGGGCCTGTCGAGGGGTAGGGGTTAAGGGGAGGGGGAGCATTAGGACAAATACCTAATGCATGCAGGGCTTAAAACCTAGATGACAGGTTGATGGGTGCAGCAAACCACCATGGCACATGTATACCTATGTAACAAACCTGCACGTTTAGCACATGTATCCCAGAACTTAAAGTAAAATTTTAAAAAAGAATACAAAATAAATAAATACATAAAAAGCCTCATGTTACCTTGAGAAGAATTCTGATGCCCAGGCTGGTGAAGAAGGGCTGGACAATGGACCCTCTTCCTAGGAACTCCCAACTACACTATTTCAGGACATGTGATCTGCTGAAATGTATTTTATTTTCAAGGTGGAGGGAAAAATTGTCTGTTTACTAAATGCTGTGCAGGATCTGACAGTCTACGCCCTTGTCTACAAGTACCGCAAAACTGGCATTTAGACTGTACCAGAGTGGCTGCCTGCCTGGCATTGGTCTGGTGCACCTGTGTGCGCTGGTGATGGGATGGTTTGGGCAGGTGCAGATCCAAGGACTGTGGTAAAAGGGAGAGCTTGTATTTTGAAGTGGAAAAGAACCTAAGGGTTTGTACAGACATCTCATCTTCCCAGAGGAGACAGACATTCTGGGTCTCATTGTAAAGTGCCTGCTGCATCAATAAAGCTCTTGACTTATTAGAAAAAAAAACTACAATAACTAAAATAGAAGGACTCTAAGGAAAATACTGGCATACAAATCAATGAAATATGTTGCCTCACCCTTAAATGGGCTTAATTCATAATAAGAGATAAATATATAATATTGGAAGTATCAGAAACTTAAGGGAAATTGAAGTAGGAGAAAAATAAATTATTAGATCATTACATCACACTATATGTCAAAATAAATTATTGGCTAATTAAAACAATTAAATGTAAAAAAAGAAACAAACAATCTGGAAGATAATATGTGTCAATATTTAACTGATTGCTGTGTAGGGAAAAATTTTCCAAGCACAAAGCAATGGGTAAAATAGTAAAGAAGAAGACCTACAGATCTGATGAGAACATTTTCAAACTTCTGTACCTCAAGAGAATCATAAGCAAAACTGAAAGGTGAGTGACAAGCTAAAAAAAATTGACATAATTATGCCAAAGGATTAATAACCTTCACATATTAAAAAATCAATAAGAAAAGCACTAACACTCTAATAAAAATATGGGCAACAGACAGACCCCAACAACTCACAAGGGATATATCATTAGCTAAAACATATATAAGAAATAGTCATCTTCCGGGCCAGGCACGGTGGCTCACACCCATAATCCTAGCACTTTGGGAGGCCGAGGCAGGCAGATCACGAGGTCAGGAATTCAAGACCAGCCTGGCCAACATGGTGAAATCGTGTCTCTACTAAAAAGACAAAAAAATAGCCTGGTGTGGTGGCAGTCACCTCCCAGCTACTGAGGAGGCTGAGGCAGGAGAATCATTTGAACCCAGGAGGCGGAGGTTGCAGTGAGCCAAGATCGCGCCATTGCACTCCAGCCTGGGTGACAGGGTGAGACTCTGTCTCAAAAAAGAAAAAAAGAAAAGAAAAGAAAAAGGAAATAGTCATCTTCCTTGGTAATTAAAAAATGCACACTTTAAATTGAGAGTCCATGTTTAATCTATCAAACTGGCAAAATTTTAAAGGCCTTAAATACTCTGTTTGGTAGTGTCCAATTAAGGATTTGTATACACTAATAGTGGAAGTATATAAAAACAGCCTCTCTGGACAGCAATTTTGCAATACAGTCTGTTTGTGACAGCATATGCTTCTGTCATGAGAATGAGGTCATACGTGATTTGCAGAAAGTTAAGGATGTCAGTAGAACCCATGCCTTGGTCCCTGTGCAATTCTTCCCAGAAGGTTGTGTTTTAAACCACGAAGTACCAGCAGCTAAACTCAATGCCCACCCCAACAGCTGAGCATGAGTAGCCCCAGGGGGACGCAGTTCATGCTGCCCGTTCCCTCACATTCTTCCTTTGGCTAGATATGGCCACTTGTTCTGCCACGAAAGTGCTTATTATCTGATAATTCACTATCTATATGCATTTTGTCCTTGTCTCCATAACTCAGCATCTCATCTCCAATTCTTCTTTACAGCCCTTTCCATCAAACAACTTTTAAAAGTCCAATATGTAAGGTAATTGTTACTCTATTTATTAGAAATCTAATTAATTTTTAAATAGCATTTTTATGAGGCTTGTTATTTTGTGTTAGTGTTGTGGTTACAACATAAAATAAATTTTGAGTGATCTGACTCAAACATATTTTTCCCTAAGTCATGTTATTTTTAGTGCGCAGTTTTGCAGGACACAATATTTTTTAGCATTTTATATGACATGTATATACATATATATCACATTATTGTAGTACACCTCTATATGATTATCAAAAACCTAAAAAAATTAACCAGCAATTTCATTTACAGCAATATACATATAGGAAAAAATCAGGTACACACAAAAATGTATACATAAGTGTGTTCATTAAAGAGTAACTTATAAAACTGAGAAATCAGAAAACATACCAATGCATAACACTTGATTGAATACTTGATATTCCATCTATAAAATGGAATCTATGAGCCATTAAAAATAATCTTTTCAAAGAATGCTTAAAGCAATAAAATTCATCATAATACATCATTAAGGGCACAAAGAAGTCTGTAAAAACAAATGCCACAGAATATCCTCAAAATTCTACAATATAAATTACTGAATTATGTATTTCCTGTTTTATATATGACAAATATATAAATATGTATAGCAAAATATAAATAATGGTTATAAGTAATAGTAGACAAAACTGTGGATAAACATTAATTACCTCCCTGCACGTTCGTACATTTTCCTAATTTTTCTATCACAAACATATATTACTTTGTTAAATAAAAGAAAAATGAACATTATTTTTCAAATAAAAACATAATGGATGCTTTAAGAAACAGGAAGGTAGCAAGAAAAGTCGGAGGGAAGGGGAAAGACGTGGAGAGAGGACTGGGGGAGAATGAGGCCACCTTAAGTTTGAATCCCCAGGTCTGTCTCCCAAGAGGCCCAGAGACTAACAAAAGGAAATCTTCTGGGCTATGGAAATCATCAGTTAATGCAAACACTGTACCTACTTTCCTGAGCCAGTAAAGCCTGATTCTCCTGTACGGCTGCTCTCTCTCACCCCATGCCATGGATGGGCTCTCTGACCCTGTAGATCTACTCACTTACCAGGTTCCTGTACCCTTGGGTCAAAGCCATTCAACCCCTTTAGACCTATCTCAGCTCAGCTGCAGCCCAAGAGCCAAGACTGCCTTATCCACTCCGTTCCCCAGAAGCCTGGTGGTCCAGGCCAGGCCCTGTATCAGAGTCACTGGAGGAGAGCCCCCAACTCCATTCCTGCTGCCCACCCTGCCCTGCAGGAACAAGCATTTCTTTTTAATTCACAGAAGGACATGATGATCTGGGCCCTAGTGGGGTATTTATACAACCCCCAACAATGACACAGGACTGCTGGTAAGAGCCAACAGACCTGAAGATGTCTTAAGGCCGGATGGATGGCTCAGTCATCATTCAGGTGAACCATCTCCACCTATGCCCACATGGGAATATGATATTGGGATCAGACACACCCTGCTCCCACACCTATGCCTGGGCACCATAAAGCCCTTCCCACCTACCCAGAGCAGGGGCAAAAGAGGTAAATCAACGGAGATAAAGTTGATGATGGTTTTAATAAGAAATTAACTTGAGTTATAAAGAATAACATAATGGCTCGTTTCCAACAGCAGGGTAGATTTGATTGCCCTGAAGGACCTTCCCAGGTGAAACTACTAAATGGTTAAATAAAATATTTTTTAAAATCTATTGAAATGCATTACTGAGTTGGCACGAAAGTCAGAACTCTGCAAAGCCCTAAAACAAAGTGAAATAAGAAGTCTGGAAGGAAAATGAGTGCCAAAGTCTGCTTTCTCCCTGAAGGCTTCTGCTAACCTCCGGAAACGCTGAGGTTCTTCTCTGATGACTATCTGAGGTGTAGGGGACAGGAAACCAAAGCCAGTCATAGCCCAAGGCTGGCGATCTAATGTGAAATCCCTGCATAACGTTGAGGTTCACAGAGGCCAGACTCTAAAAGTGAATAAAAAGTAAACCTGGGCTGGGAGCAGTGGCTCACACCTGTAATCCCAGAACTTTGGGAGGCCAGAGCGGGCAGATCACCTGAGGTCACAAGTTCGAGACCAGTCTGGTCAACATGGCACAACCCACATCTCTACTAAAAATACAAAAGAATTAGCCAGGTGTGGTGTCATGCACTTGTAATCCCAGATATTCCAGAGGCTGAGGCAGCAGAATCGCTTGAACCCGGGCGGCAGAGGTTGGCAGTGAGCCGAGATCGCACCACTGCACTCCAGCCTGGGTGATAGAGCAAGACTCCATCTCAATTAAAAAAAAAAAAAAAAAAAAAAAAAAGAAGTAGTAAACCTGGATCGCCACAAAGAGGCAACAAGGAAACTTAACCAATGCACTCTGGCATGGGTTGGAGGGGGAAAACATTGTAAACACAGGCCACTTCTTACATAACTTTGAGATCCAAAATTATACTAGTTGTGAGATCCAAAAAACTTCAGGCAGTGCCCCTGGGCACTTCAGAAGCAAATAAAAATCCTCTCTGGAGAAACTCAACCTCAAAGAAGTCCCCAAGAATCCTCACAAATAAAGTCCCAAGGACAATAAGCAGCTTACAGCCCAAAATCACAAAACATAAAAACATATGAGGAAATAAAGTATCATGCGTAAAAACCTTCAGAGAAAAAAAAGATTCGCAAGAACTTTAGACATTGGAATTTTTCGGTATAGAATATAACATACACATAAATAGACACAGGAAAAAATGGAAGTTAAGCTAAATAGAAATAAAATACAATAATAATAATTAAAGGCCAGGCACGGTGGCTCACACCTGTAATCCCAGCACTTTGGGAGGCCGAGGTGGGTGGATCACCTGAGGTTGGGAGTTTGAGACCAGCCTGACCGACATGGAAAAATCCGGTCTCTACTAAAAATACAAAAAAATTAGCCGGATGTGGTGGCACATGCCTGTAATCACAGCTACTCAGGAGGCTGAGGCAGGAAAATCGCTTGAACCCAGAAGGTGGAGGTTGACGTGAGCCAAGATCATACCATTGCACTCCAGCCTGGGCAAAAAAAGCGAAACTCTGTCTCAAAAAAAAAAAATTAAATTCACTAAACATATCAGCTAGCAGATTAAACACCTGTGAAGAGAGAAATGGTAAACTAAAAGATCTGAATAAATGATCTAGGTGCAGCCCATAGAATAAAAAGATGGAACTATGGAAGAGGGATTAAACAAAGGAAATATGTCAAGAAGGTCTAATATAATGATCATCAGAGTTCCAAAAGAAAATAACAAAGAGAATGAGAAAGTGGCAATACAGGAAGAGACAATAGCTGAGAATTTTCCAGAACTGTTGAAAAACACCAATTCTCAGTTTAGGGAAAACCTGTGAATTCCAGGCAGAATAATATTTTTTTAAATCTCTATACTAGGTACATTACAGTGAAATTGCAAAATATCAAAGAAAAAGAAGACCACAATTAAGATTACAACCAACCTCTCAAACACTACAATGGAAGAGAGAAAACATGAAGATTATCTTCGTGTTGAAAGTACTGTAGACGTAAAATTCTATATCCAGAAACTTTTCTTTCAATAATGAGGATTTTAAAAGACATTTTGAGACAATAAAAACGGATAATTTACTAGTATAGGATGCCCACTAAAGGAAATTCTAAAGCTTATGCTTCACACAGAAGAGAAATGGTCCCAAATGAAAGGTCTAAAATGGAAGGTAGAATAATGAGATAAATATTGTAAAATAACTGGCAAAGTCTAAGCAATGACTGTACAAAACAATATATCATAATGTCAAATTCACTGGAATTTTAAAAATAGGCTAGAACTAGAATGTTGAACAACAGCTTGTAAGCTTGGAGGAAAGTAGTCCGAAAAAATTGTTCTAAGGCAGATTTTGTCTGCCCTCTGCCTCAAGGTTATATCCCAGGGATGCACTTTATAATGAAGGTATCATTTCCTCCAGAAGACAGGAGGGTGCTTGAAGAGTTGCTTAGGAACTGGGGGATCAGCTTCCTCTATTCCTTTGGCTCCTCCCTATCCAATCTTATTGCTCTGTTATGTTATTTTCTGCCTTCCTATCTTAGCCAGAAGCAGGAAATTCTACTTTTGCAATTCTGCAAGGCACATGGCTTATCCCATCAAGACTTAGTCTAAAGAAAGGGGAAGGGAGGGTTCTTCTGTCAACACTGCTTGCTCCTTCCTCTCTGTTTTCCAGATGAGCTGCTTAGACCATGTTTATTGTGGACTACATTTATGCCCTCCCAAGAGGCCATAAGGAGTAGCCAACATACTCTAATATCCCCGAAATATCTACCAATCCCCTGAAGTGCCATCCTCAGTAAGCACACAGTAACAATTTAACCAGCTGCATAGCTACTGATAACAAGGGCTTCCCAGCTACAAACTGAGGTATTCCCCTGTGCCTCATTCCTCTTCAGCTCAGCAATGCCAATTCCAAGTACCAATTTCTGCCACTTTTAGGAGTCGTTTGTAGGTAACGCAAATTCATCTCAAAAGACTTTAGTCAGGAAAGGAAATTTACTGGCTCATAGCATTGGGACGTCCGGACCTAGAGTTGACCAGGGTCAGAGACTCAAACAGTGTTCTCAAGACCCGTTTGCTGTTCACCCTGCTTACATCTCAGCTCCTTTTATAGATCACCCTCATTCTCTCCAACTGTAAATGGATATATCCAGCAAAGTTGGCCACAAGCAGCTTCACTTAATATTGTGGTTTATCTAAAATTCAGTTAATTGGGTGGGCTGTATTTTACCCGGCAACTCAATATGGGAGAAATCTGATTGGTCCTGCCTGAGTCACATGTCTATCCTTTGGCCCAATCCCTGTGGGCAGAATTGAAATAGCCCTGTAGCCAGGTTGTACAGGAAGCACTGAGATTGATAGTCCCACCAGAATGCCATAGGATGCAAGAAGAGCGGTTCCCAGTGAAGATAAAAATCTCTGATGCACTTTGGGAGGCTGAGGTGGTGGATCACGAGGTCAGGAGTTCGAGACCAGCCTGGCCAACATAGTGAAACCCCATCTCTACTAAAAATACAAAAAATTAGCCAGGTGTGGTGGTGTGCACCTGTAATCCCAGCTACTCGGGAGGCTGAGGCAGGAGAATGGCTTGAACCCGGCAGGCGGAGGTTGCAGTGAGCTGAGATCACGCCATTGCACTCCAGCCCAGGCGACAGTGTGAGACTCTGTCAAAAAAAAAAAAAAAAAATCTTCAATGAATAAAAACAAGAGACAACCAGACAAGCACAACTTTGGGGTTTACTGAAGGTTGGTGGTAGTGGTGGCTGTGTGGCTGTGGTATTATTTATCATGATTTTATTTGCCTCCTTCTTTTTCTGCCACTAGATTCCCCCAGACAACTGATGTTCCTGGTTAGGCTAAGTCCATCCAGGCATGATGAATCTGATAACCTTGGCCACACGAGAGGTGAGAAACTTCATTGGCCAACATGGCCAGCACGGAAAGGAGTGTTTGAGCCCTACTCCGTGGTTCTCAGCCTCAGCGGCATGTTAGAATCTCCTGAGGAATCCTTAAAAAGCATTGATGTGTGGGTTTCTGATTTAATTGGTCTGGGTACATCCTGGGCACTAGGAATTTTTAAAGCTCCTCAGATGATTCTAATATGCAGCCAAGGATGACAACCACTGTCTAAGAGAATGAAGCAAAAAGGGGGGAATATCAGGCTTGGAGAGCATCTTCTTATGGCACATCGTTGGAGTAAAAGTAGTTTAAACTGTTGATAATATGAAGAAATGCATAGAACACTTTGGTAAGTATAAGAAAAGCCCCATGTAAGCCGGGCGGGGTGGCTCACACCTGTAATCCTAGCACTTTGGGAGGTCAACGAGGGCAGATTGCCTGAGCTCAGGAGTTCAAGACCAGCCTGGGCAACACGGTGAAGCCCCGTCTCTACTAAAATATAAAAAATAAGCCGGGTGTGGCACCATGCACCTGTAGTACAGGCTACTCGGGAGGCTGAGGCAGGAGAATTGCACCAATGCACTCCGGCCTGGGTGACAGAGTGAGACTCCGTCTCAGAAAAAAAAAGGGGGGAGAGGGGGGTCAGGGTGCAGTGGCTCACGCCTGTAATTCCAGCACTTTGGGAGGCCAAGGCGGGTGGATCACGAGGTCAGGAGATCGGGACCATCCTGGCTAACACAGTGAAACCCCGTCTCTACTAAAAATACAAAAAAAAAAAAAAAAATTAGCCGCCCGTGGTGGGGGGCGCCTGTAGTCCCAGATACTCGGGAGGCTGAGGCAGGAGAATGGCGTGAACCCCGGGAGGTGGAGCTTGCAGTGAGATGAGATCGCACCACTGCACTCCAGCCTGGGTGACAGAGCAAGACTCCATCTAAAAAAAAAAAAAAAAAAAAAAAAACCCTGAAAGAGAAGCATGTAAAATTGTATATGTAATACGACCTTCAGAATCTAAACAATTTATAGAAAAAATAACAAAGGAAACAAAAATGCTAACAACAGTGATTCTAGATGGTGAAATAATAGGCTTCTAAGTTTCTATTTTATCAGATGTTTCTGAAGTTTTAACTTTTTTCCATGATAAATATGTATTACTTTTATAATTCAGAAAATAAAAGTTAAAAAAAAAACTAGGGGGAAAATGACAAATCCTTTGGACTACATTCAAGGCCTCTATGATGGGGCCCTGCCTACCCCTCAGCCAGGTCTCAGTACTCTCTCTGCCCCCACACGCCCCAGGTTCCAGCCACTGCACATCTCCAGACCTCACAATGTCTCATCCCAGTCACTCCAGACAGAATCTCCCTTTAACTATAGATGTAGTTTTTGATCTTCCAACGAGGTCATGCCTCCTCCCTGATGAAGCTTTCTCATATGCCCAAATGGAAGCCTTCGTATTAGCCCCTTTACCAGCTCAGAGGTTCCCAAAAGTGATCCCCATTGAGAAATAATACCCTTCATCCTAGGAGCAAAGACATCATCGTAAGGACCCTGGGTGAAAAGAAGTTATTTTCCGTCCCGCACGTACTGCTCTGCCCTCGCCCCTTCCGGAGCAGAGCTCGCTCTCAGACCCACGTGCACATTCTCCAGCCCTGCAGACCTCACCTCGCCAGAGGCAGAAGGAAGTCCAGGCATTTGCACCAGTTCATTTAGATCTTAGCAGAGCGTAAAATTTACTTTCTGGGAAATTATAAAAACATGCAATCTGCAGGTCTATCCATAATAAAGGGTTTGCTCTCAAGGCAGAAGCCTCTTAGTACTGTTCTGTAGGCAGACTCCTTCCCTTTGGTCAGTGTAAGCTCCCTGGAGCAACTCGCAATCAGGGGTGGCTTTGAAACCAGCAGAAGGAGCACCCAGTAGAGGGGCACACTAGATTCTGGCAGGAACAACTCTTAACCCCCAGAAACAAGGTAGCTTAATTAAAACAGAAAAAGGAAGAATCTCTACATCTAGATTGAGATGGGACCAGCTATAACTTTTCAGGGGGTCATCCTTCCAGGTTCCTTTCTTCCAGGCAGGCCAGCCTCTGCCCATGTGGTACCTTACCCTACACACTTACTATTACACACTCTGTCCAGGTCGTTTGCTTCCTGAGAGTTCCTCCTGCTTAGAATGGTGAGAGAAGCACTGAATTCAGACTCACGGCCTTCAGAGCCTCCCAATCTGGCCTGTTCACCCTGGCTCTGCCCCTCACTCACTGTGTGACACCAGGTAGGTGTCTTCAGCTGTCTGAGCCTGTTTTTCTCATCCACAAAGACAAGATAACAATACCCACCTGCAGGGCTGTGGGGCGGAGTCACAGTTATATACAAGAAGCTCCTAGCACTGTGCTTGGCATAAAGTCGGTGCTTAATGGTCAGTACCTGTGATTGGGGCTGTCCACAAATTTTTCATTTCCCAAGGCCCAGCTGCAGCCCACCTCCTCCAGGAATCATTTCCTGACAACCCAACCCAACTCAGACTTCTCCCTCTCTTGGCTCTGATGATTCTTGCAGTCCGCCCCATCAGCCTAACACCTGATTTCTCACTTACCTTGGGCACTGATGCTTCTCCAGGAGCTTTCCTTATCACCCCCCAATGAACAGAAAATTCTCCATTAGGAAGAAGCACCTCTTCCTCTTCTCCTGCCTCCCCCACAGTGCAGGGAGAGGCACATCATAGTTGCTCCAGTAGGCAGGCAGGATATGGTCTGTTCACTGAGGGATACAAGTTCGACCTTTATAACGAAGGCAATAGGGAGCTAGTGAAGGTTCTGGAGGAGGGAGATGACAGAAGGTGTCATTCGCGTGAGCACTGAGCAGCGGTGCACAGTATTTCCAGTCTGTTTCCTTCCTGCTTTCCCTGCAGAAGCCGCTGGCAGAGTGATGAATGCACAGTGGCTGAGCATTATTAATCACCTTAAAAGTAAACATTCATCTTGGTGCAGAATTTTTACTTTTCTCCTCTAATAACAGATTAGAGCACCCAGATATTAATGGGCCAGATAATTTACATTTTCCTTAAGCAGAAAACACAAACCATCAGACCCTTGTGGCAACACCACTTCCTGACACATTGAGAGATAGGCCAAATAAACTGCTGTAACTAAAACACTCACATACGCACGCTCACCCGCCGATACGTGGCAGTTTGCAAACATTTCGCAACAAGCTCAATATAATTTCTATACACAATTACTCATTCCCTTCTGGAGGATTTTCCTCTCCTCCTTGCCTTCCCAATTGCTCGGGGCCATTAAACCACAAATCCTTGGGTAGAGTTCCCCTCTGCTGCTTTCCTTAAACTCTGACCTTAGCCCTAAATAAGTCAGTCCTTAAAGGAAACAACTCATTGAGTAGCCAGTGCTACCAAGAAACAAAGTGGGCCGTGGACCTTCGCCACTCTTTTCACCTCTTCTCCTACCAGGGATCCCGAAAAGGGAGAAGCATGTCTGAAAAGAGAAGCCAGAGGAGAAAAATCTTTGCATCTTGATCCTCTTTATGTGATCACCCATGCAAAGTTGCCATAGTGGATTACCTGAGGTTCCAGCCAAAGAGTGAAATACTGCAGTAGGCCAAGCCATGAAGAAGAGAGAGGACAGCAACTTATTCCTGCACTGACGATGACTTATTGTATGATCTTGACCAATTCCTCAATCTTCTCTGAGCTGTGGGTTCCCCATCTGTACAATGAATGGTTTGGTTTTGATGACTCAAAACTCTGACATTTTGTGATTTAACTTCTGGGCACCAACAGTCACACAGGGCAGCAGCATTGAGTATTAGAGCTGAGCAGTTAAAAACAGCATGCATAATACTTAATCCCTGGTTGAGCTAGCCACTGCACATGCTCAGTACTCAGGAGAACTACCTGCTGAGAATGCTCAGTCCACAGGTGAGCAACCCACTGAGCATGCTCAGTCCCCCTCCAAGTGTACTACCCACTGGGCATGCTCCGTGCCAAGGCAATCAAGTTCCCTAAGGCACCAGAGCACATCCCCTCTCACGGAGCATATTCAGTTCTAAAGAAAAGTGACACTAGGCATGCTTAATTACAGGGCAGTAGACTGTCTGCCAGTGAAAGCTGATCCTCTCTCCTTGGGCTCCCCAGAAATAGGATAGGCACACAGTGGGCCCACAGCAACTAGTTGAATTAAACAAGTCAAATAATCTTAGCCACGCTGTCTCTGTTCACCTGTTGAGTTCTACAGACTCTCATTATGACATACATGGCCTTAAGTGTTTACAACAAAACAAAGTTCCCAGCAAATAAACTTGCACCAGCCAACCACTCCAAAACAGAATATATCCTCATAATATGTTTTCAAACTCATCACACCTGTAAGAATACAGAAGATTTGATTAATACTATCCACCAATTTTACCTAATTGACATTTATAGCTCTCTCTATCTAACAGCAGAAATCACATTTTTTTCAGGTAGCAAGGAATATCCATTGGCCATATACTTGGCTGAAAAGCATGTCTCAAAAATTTTTAAAAGACTGAAATCATACAAGTTATTTTATTATAGTGGAATTAAATTAAAAAGTAATAACAGATATCTAGAAAATCACCAAATATTAGGAAATTAAATAAAACACTTTTAAATAACTCATAGATCAATGAAGAAATCACAGGGAAATTGGAAAGTGTTTCAAACTGAATGACAATAAAAGCAACACATATCAAAATTTGCAGGATATGGTTGAAGTGGAGATTAGAAGGGAAGTTGGATCTTTAAATGCCTAGATTAATAAAGAAAAAAAGGCACAAAATCAAAGATCTAAGCATCCACCTTCAGACACAAAAAAAGAAGAGCAAATGAAACTCAGTGTAAACAGGAAATGGAAAACAATAAGAAGACAGAAAATCGATGATATAGAAATGAGATAGACAATTAATCTTTTCTTTGAAAAGATTAATAAAACTGACAGACCCTTTGAAGAAGACTAGCCAAGAAAAAAAGGAGATCATCTATGAACCAGAAAATGGGCCCTCACCAGACACTCAATCTGATGGCACATTGATCCTGGACTCTACTTTGTTTCTAGAACTATGAGAAATTAAATTTCTGATGTTTATAAGCCAAAAAAAGAAAAAAAGAACAGAAAACGCATATTACCAATATGAGAAATTACATATGGCATATCACTATAGATCCTATATCTATTAAAAAACAATACAAAATATTATGAACAACTTTAGGTCAATAAATTGACAACTTAGACAAAACAGACAAACTCCTTGGAAAAGATAAATCACAAAAATGAAATACATGAAATTATAAATCTAAATCATCCTACATCTATTAAGTAATTTTAATTCATAGTCAACAACTTTCCCACAAAGAAAATTCTGAGTCCAAGTGGCTTTACCAGTGAATTTCATCAAACATATAAGGAAGATATAATAAATTGGTATTAAACAAACTCTGAAAGTCAAAGAGAAGGAAATATTTTCCAACTCATTTAATGAAGTCAGAATAATCCTGACATCAAAAACTGACAAAGATATTAGAAAAGATTGTTACAGACCAATATTTCTCGTAATTAAAGAGATTTTTTAAACCCTTGTTAAACTACTAGCAAATTAAACAGCAGTATAGAGAAGTATAATATAACCTGACAAAGTTGTGTTTATCACAGTAATGCAAAGTTGATTAACATTTGGAAAATAAAACAAATCAAGTTGAAAAATTTTTGAGAAAATCTGAAATTCACAAAATTAACAGAATAAGGGAGAAAAAGATCGATGTAATTCACAACATTGATTGAATAAAGGAGAAAAATAATATAATTCAGACAAAACATTGGGCCAATTCAATACCCATTACAGTTAAAAAAAAAAAAAACTATGAGGGGCCGGCCGGGCGCAGTGGCTCACGCCTGTAATCCCAGCACTTTGGGAGGCCGAGGTGGGCAGATCACGAGGTCAGGAGATCAAGACTATCCTGGCTAACACGGTGAAACCCTGTCTCTACTAAAAATACAAAAAATTAGCCGGGTGTGGTGGTGGACGCCTGTAGTCCCAGCTACTCGGGAGGCTGAGGCAGGAGAATGGTGTGAACCCAGGAGGCGGAGCTTGCAGTGAGCCTAGATCGTGCCACTGCACTCCAGCCGGGGCGACAGAGTGAGACTCCATCTCACACACACACAAAAAAACTATGAGTAGAATTTTCTTAATCTGATGAAGGCATCTATTAATATCTAGAGTTAAAAATATCCCACATAACTGTGAAACATTGAATGCTTTTCTTATGAGATCAATAACAATGTTAATAGATAATATCTTGAACATTGTACTAAGCTGTAGATAGTGTACTAGGACAAGAAAACTAAGTAAAAGTCATAAATATTGGAAATTGAAAAGTAAAGCTGTATTCACAGACAACGTGGTTATATTCATGCAATACTCTGGAATCTTCACAAATATATTAGAATAATTGTATTTATGAATCTTACAGGATACAATGTCATTATATTTAAAAAATCAATTATTGCTCTACATAATAGCCACCAAAAAATGGAAAATAAAAACTTTTTTTTTTTTTTTTGAGACAGGATCTTGCTCTGTCACCCAGGCTAAAGTGCAGTGGCACAAACAGGGATCACTGTAGCCTTGACCTCCCTGGCTCAGGTGATCCTCCCACCTCAGTCTCCTGAGTAGTTGGGACCACAGATGCATACTGCCATGCTGGGCTAATTTTATTTAGTTTTATTTTTTGTAGAGACGGGGTCGTGCCATATTGCCCAGGCTGGTGTCAAACTCCTGGGCTCAAGCAATCCTCCTGCCTTGGCCTCCCAAAGTGCTAGGATTACAGGCACAAGCAATAAAATGTTTTTAAATTGTCATTTGCAATAAAATTAATAAACTCAAATACCTAGGTATGATTCTAATTAATAAGGAGCAAAAGCACTGTACTGAAAACTACAAAACAGTTGCTGAGAGAAATTTAAAAGACTTTTAAAATGGAAATATATCATGTTTGTGGATTAAACAACTTGATATTGTTAAGATGTCATTTGCCCCCAAAGTGATCTATCAATCACAATCCCAAATTCCAAGAGGAGTTTTTGAATTGACAAGTTGGTTCTAAAATATATATGGAAATGCAAAGTACCTAGAGTAGCCAAAACAAAAAAGACAAAGTTGGAAGACTTAAACTAATATCAAATCTTTCTATAAAGTAACAGCAATGAAATCAGTATGATTTTGGTGTAAGAATAGGTGAAGAGAGCAGAATACAAGGTCCAAAAATAGACCCACACACAGTCAATTAATTTTTAGCCAAGCCAATTCAATAAAGGAGAGGAAAGGCTTGTTACAATGTGTCAGAATAACTGCCTAGTTCTATTTAAAAACAAAGAATCTCAACTCCTACCTCACTCCATATGCAAAAATGTATTAGAAGATCATAAAGCTAAACATAGTGCTAGATCCAGAAATCTTCCAGAGAAAACATAAAATAATATCTCTGAGACTTGGGATACACAAAGACTTCTTAGAACACAGAAGCCAGTCATCATAAAAGAAAAAATTAACAAATGGAATTAATGAAAATTTAAATTTCTGCTCATCAGACTATGCCATTAATAAAATGAACAAGGAGGCCGGCCACACACTGAGAAAAATATCACAATATGTGTATCTCTAACAAAGGACTCATATTCCAAATATATGAGGAATTCCTACTAATCAACAAAAACACAAGTAGCACAACTTTAAAAATGGGCAAAAGATTTGAAAAGACATTCCAAAAAAGAAGATATATGAATGGTCATTAAGACATGAAAAATGCTCAGTATCAATTTTCTTCAGGAAATGCGAATTAAAATCACAATGAGATATCTTTCATACCCACTACAATGTGTTCTTTTTTGGCAAGTGGGGTATTTATTAAAGACCTACATTTGTGTTAAGAGGGGAAAGAAGCAGGATTGGGCAGAAAGAAGCTGGAAGGCAGTGCGGTCACAGTCTAGCCTGGGTATATGTGGCTGTTCAGACATGTCTCATTTGGGGCCCAAATGGCCAGGCTTCTTATTCCTCCAGTGGATCCATGAGAATTATAGTGGGTCCACTTCTGCTTCCACTGCTTGATTTCTGGACCCATGTATCCTTTTAATTGTCGTACAAGACGGCATTCCATCCTTGTAGAGGGCCACCTCCAAGCTGACACCTCAACCGCACCTTGGGTATGCCATCTACCAAAACTCTATCAGGCTGGAAGCTGGAATGTACTTTTTGAATGATGGAGAATGAGCACAAGGAATCTTTTTGGAGAGATGAAAATATTCTAAAAGTAGATGGTGGTGATGGTTGCACAACTCTATAAATGTACGAAAAATCATCGAACTATGCCTTCACAATGGCGGAAATGTATATGTAAATTACTCCTCAATATGTTCATACATTGCTACTGAAGGTATAAACCATATATCACAATTGAAAGATACAAGCATGTAGTAAAATTGTAAAGAAAAGCTAGAGAACGATAAACATAAAATTCAGGAGAGTAGTTACCTACGAGGGGGACAGAGGAGAATGGGAAGTGATAATGGCAAAGAAGAAATGTTGAAGGTATTGGTAATCTTTTTCCCTATATTAGGTGGTGGTATAAAAGTGTTCATTGTATCAATATTTCTTATACCTTCTATCTAGTTTATAAATATTAATAAAGATTATTTTGTTTCTACTCACATACATAAAACAACTTATAGTTAATAAAAACAACTTAAAATAAATTGGCGGGGTGCATTGGCTCCAGCCTATAATCCCAGCACTTTGGGAGGCTGAGGCAGGCAGATCACTTGAGGTCAGGGGTTCGAGACCAGTCTGGCCAACATGATGAAACCCCGTCTCTACTAAAATTCAAAAGTTAGCGGGGTGTGGTAGCAGGCACCTGTAATCCCAGCTACTCAGCAGGCTGAGGCAGGAGAACCGCTTGAACCCAGGAGGTGGAGGTTGAAGTGAGCCAAGATCATGCCACTGCACTCCAGCCTGGGTGACAAAGCGAGATTCCATCTCAAAAAAAGAAAAATAAATAAAATAAAATAAATTGTAAAAGAGATAAAGAGCCGGGCGCAGTCGCTAACACTTGTAATTCCAGCACTTTGAGAGACCGAGGGTGGTGAATCACAAGGTCAGGAGTTCAAGACCAGCCTGACCAACATGGTGAAACTCCGTCTCTACTAAAAATACAAAAATTAGCCGGGCATGGTGGCGGAAGCCTGTAATCCCAGCACTTGGGGAGGCTGAGGTGGGCAGATCATTTGAGGTCAGGAATTTGAGATCAGCCTGGCCAAATGGTGAAACCTCGTCTCTACTAAAAAATACAAAAATTAGCTGGGCATGGTGGCGCATGCCTGTAGTCCCAGCTATTTTGGAGGCTGAGGTGGGAGAATCTCTTGAACCTGGGATGCGGAGGTTGCAGTGAGCCAAGATAGTGCCACTGCACTCCAGCCTGGGCGACACAGCAAGACCCTATCTCAAAAAGAAAGGAAAAAGAAGAAAGAAGAAGAAGAAGAAGAAGAAGAGAAAGAGGAAGAGGAAGAAGAAGAGGAGGAGGCGGAGAATGGGGAGGAGGAGGAGGAGAAGAAGCAGCAGGAGGGAGGCGGGAGGATGGAAGAGGGAGAAGGGAGAAGGAAGAAGGAAGAAGAAGGAAGAAGAATACTAGGTTGAGTGGAGGTTTTGCCCTCTTCACTTTGGGTAGACAAGAGAGCAAGGGAGTCATAGCACTGATCCTCCCAGCCCCAGCCCAGTGCCATTGAGATACTAATACCTTAACACTTCCATAAAGATATGCACACATCTGCCTTAGAGTTCATTGTCTGGGGTTTTCAGAGAAGGAAAGTGAGAAAGCTTAGGTGCAGGAGCAGGAAGAGTGTTGAATGGTGATAGCCCTTCAATCAGTGGCAATACCTTCAGCAGGGACTCCTGGGCACAGTATCTGCACACCTGGAGAAATAGTAAGTTCCAGGGCAGGCTAAGATACCATCACAAATAGACCCACAATATGTTAATGACTCAAACACAATAGATGTTCATTCCTGCCTCAAATACCTAGTCCAGAGAAGGTGGTCCTCCTTCGTGCAGCGTTTTCAGTCCCAGACTCCTTTTATCTTCTGGCTTCTCTATTCTCTAAGGCCTTATTGTCATCTGCTTCCAGTCAGAGAGAAAAAAAAGAAGGAGGCAGGAGGGACATATCTGCTTTTTTTAACGTTTTAGCCCAGCAACCTTAGGGCAGACAAAGATGTCTTAGAACAGGACACGACGAAAACACACCATCAAAGAAAAAAACTGACACGCCAATTAATTGGACTGCATCGAAATGAAATATTTCTCCTTTTCAAAACACAACATGAACAAAATGAAAAGCCAAACCACAAAGAAAACATTTATTGCGGCATTATTCACAATAGCAAAGACTTGGAACCAACCCAAATGTCCAACAATGATAGACTGGATTAAGAAAATGTGGCACATATACACCATGGAATACTATGCAGCCATAAAAAATGATGAGTTCATGTCCTTTGTAGGGACATGGATGAAATTGGAAATCATCATTCTCAGTAAACTATCGCAAGAACAAAAAACCAAACACCGCATATTCTCACTCATAGGTGGGAATTGAACAATGAGATCACATGGACACAGGAAGGGGAATATCACACTCTGGGGACTGTGGTGGGGTGGGGGGAGGGAGGAGGGATAGCATTGGGAGATATACCTAATGCTAGATGACGAGTTAGTGGGTGCAGCGCACCAGCATGGCACATGTATACATATGTAACTAACCTGCACAATGTGCACATGTACCCTAAAACTTAAAGTATAATTAAAAAAAAAAAAAGTTAAAAATCATCTAATATATGTGGCATATATGAAGATGTTACAAAGTTTCTGAAGATGTATTTTGTAAAAATCCAATAAATTTGAACTCCTGAATAACAAAAAAAATAAATAAATAAAATAAAATAAAATAAAATTATAAAAAAAAAAGAAAACATTTTTGTAATTCACATACCAAACAAAGGACTTGCATCCACAGTATATAAAGAACCCCTAGAATTCAATAAGACCCCCCCCCAAATTCAGTGGCAAAAGATTTTAAGACACTCACAAAAGGAGATGTGCATGAAAGGATGTTTGACATCATCAGTCATCAAGGAAATGCAAATTAAAACCACAAAGAGGCCAGGCATGGTGGCTTATGCCTGTAATCCCAGCACTTTGGGAGGCTGAGGTGAGCAGATCGCCTGAGGTCGGGAGTTCAAGACCAGCCTGGCCAACATGGCAAGACCCCATCTCTACTAAAAATACAAAAATTAGCTGGACGTGGTGGCGGGTGCCTGTAATCCCAGCCTAAAAAGGTAAAAACCACAGATATACACAACAACATGAATGCATTTTAAAACATGTGAAGCGAAAGTAGCCAGCCCAGACCACTTCATGTTGTATGATTTTATGTATATGAAATCCGTGAATGTGCAAATCTAATCTACGATAACATACAGTGGATCAGGCAGTCACCTGTGGGTGGGAGGGATTTATTACAGTGAAGCAAGAGAAAGCCCTTTGGGGTCACGGAAATGTTCAATAGGTTGATTGTGCTAGTAGTGGTATTCATCAAGCTGGTATTGGGGATATACAAGTTGTACATTTTCAAAGGGTGCTTTTCATTGTATGTAAATTCTGTGTTGATAACATTGATTTTTTTTAAGGGAAAGGGGAAGTCTTAGCCTAGAAAGTGCACATAACATAACTTTTACTCACATTACGGTGGTTAGAACAAACCATCATAAGTTCACTGCAACTTCAAGGGAGGCTGAGGAGTGTAGTCCAGCTGTGTGGCCAGGAAGAAGAGGAAAAACAGGTTTGGCAAATAGCAGCAGCATCTGTCACACCCAACTGTCTGCTGCCCAGAGAATCTACTGGAGAGCCCTTCCAAGGCAGATACAGTGAGGCCGCCCCAAGGTTTACAGCAAGGCAGGAGATGAGGCTGGGACACAGGGCAGGGCTGAGCACAGAGAAAAGGAGGAGGCTGCTGGAGGAGGAAGCATTCCCAAAAGCCATTTCCAGAGGAATAAAGCAAGAGGAAATGGTGTCCACAAAAGCTTGGAACAAGAAAGCAGATGTTTGGAGACTGGGTTGGGAAGTCCTGCATGGCTGGACACAGAAAAGTTGGAAAGAGTAGTGGGTGATGGAGATTCTGGGCTCTAAGATCAAGGGCGAAGCAGTGGGGCTGTCTCTTGTGAACCCTCAGAACCCTGGGAGGGTTGGAGGGAAGCTCCAGCTCTGACAGCCCCTACACTGTTTGCAGCACTTAGTTGCTTACCTTCCCATGCAGTCCCAGCACAGGGGAGTGAGGGATGGGTCGTTGCCTGAGGTGCGCACCCCAAGACTGGGGAAGCCCCCTCCACCCGGAGAAGGTGGGAGAAGTTTCGAGCTGTGACTCAGGCTGCACTCCAGGAAAGAGGCGGATGGAGGAGCCAACGTCACAGGCACGAAGTCGTGTGTGGCTGGAGCCCACTCACAAACCCCACTCCCGTCTGAGTCACTGCACAGAAAAGGCACCTGTTGCTCAGCAACGGAGGGGAGGTCCCGGCAGGTCCCAGCTCCCGGCTTCAGACTCCGGCCTGGTTAACCCTTCACTTCCCAAGTAGGGGGAATCTGACCCCAGAAACTCTATGTCAAAGATCTAGACTTACCTGGTTTTGGCTTTACCTGCCAGCCAGCCTATTCCGAAAAGGAACACCTGCCAGTGGAGGATACAGTATCTACTGCATCCCACTCCCCACTGTCCCACTGAGGGAAGAAAGCCCCCAAAGGACCAAGGCCTTGCCCAAGGCCACACAGTTAACAAGTGGCAGAAAAGAGACAGGAAGGCCTCCAGGCTTCATCCATAGGTATTAAAGATCTTTTGCCAGGCGCGGTGGCTCATGCTTGTAATCCCAGCACTTTGGGAGGCCAAGGCGGGTGGATCACCTGAGGTCAGGAGTTCGAGACCAGCCTGACTAACATGGTGAAATCCTGTCCCTACTAAAAATACAAAAATTAGCCAGGCGTGGTGGCAGGCGCCTGTAATCCCAGCTACTCGGGAGGCTGAGGCAGCAGAATTGCTTACACCTGGGAGGTGGAGGTTGCAGTGAGCCGAGATCGTGCCACTGCACTCCAGCCTGGGCACTCCAGCCTGGGCGACAGAGCGAAACTCTCTCTCCAAAAATAAATAAATAAATAAATAATAAAAAAGATCTTTTTAAGTATCAGGCATGATAGGGGAAGAGCTGGTGAGGGCCCATAAAATATGTAGGGCCTGAAAAAGAACAATTGGTTCCAAAATACGAAAAGCAAACTGCAAAATCATATTTAGTAAAATGTTCAATTAAAGATTACAAAAGAACACAATGAGGCCAGGCACGGTGGCTCACACCTGTAATCCCAGCACTTTGGGAGGCTGAGGTGGGCAGATCACCTGAGGTCAGCAGTTCGAGACCAGCATGGCCAAGATGGTGAAATCCCGTTTCTACTAAAAATACAAAAATTAGCTGGACGTGATGGTGCATGCCTGTAATCTCAGCTACTTGGGAGGCTGAGGCAGGAGAATCACTTGAACCCAGGAGGCAGAGGCTGCAGTGAGCCAAGATCACGCCTTTGCACTCCAGCCTGGGCAACAGAGTGAGACTCTGTCTGGAAAACAAACACACAAACAAAAAACAGTACGACAAGTTGGCTTCCTGAATGGTGACATGTAGAATACGTAGAACACGTCCTTACATTTGAAAACCATGTTCTAGAATTGCTTTCGTCACCTTGCAGAATTCCTAAGGGTGCCTGAGAAAAGCTGACCAACACTAACTTAGACTAGTTACTGTGACCAAATCATTTCAAAAGCAAAGCAAAATTATCAAACATCTTCAATTTTTTTTTTTTTTTTTTCTGAGACGGAGTTTCGCTCTGTCACTCAGGCTGGAGTGCAATGGCGCAATATCGGCTCACTGCAACCTCCGCCTCCCGGGTTCAAGCGATTCTCCTGCCTCAGCCTCCTGAGTATCTGGGATTGGAGGTGCGCACCACCACGCCTGGCTAATTTTTTCTATTTTTAGTAGAGACGGGGTTTCACCATGTTAGTCAGGATGGTTTCGATCTCCTGGCCTCAGGTGATCAGCCCGCCTCAGCCTCCCAAACTGCTGGGATTTCAGGCGTGAGCCACCGCGCCCGGCCACATCTTCAATTTATTTACAGAAAGAAAAAAAAAAATCCACATTTCATGTGAGGTATGTGCTACCTATGATGGGAGAAGCTTCCGGAGGAAGGAGGTGAAAGCCCGATGGAGCCTGGAAATGGATCTGCCTGTGCCTTTTTCTCGAGTCAGGGCTTTGCAGCTGGAGCCCCAGCCCCTACCTGAAGCTGTAGGTGGGGGACAAAAGGACCCAGCTGGGGGATGCCACGCCCTTCATGACCTCCAGACAGTGGGGCACGCTGAGAAAATGCCTGCCTCAGAGGGAAGGAAGTGGCCCCGGAGGATTTTTTCCCTCCTGAATAGGAAAGCTTCTCTCCTGGAGACAGATTCCACAGCTAACTGAGCTGCAGCCTGGCAACCGCACCTTCCCAGGCATGCTGAGCGTGTGCGTGGCAGCTCCCCATGCCCTGCTGAAATGCCCGATCCTATTAGTGATAAGGTGCCGGGGAGAAGTTTTATTTCATGTTCCAAGCAGGTTATGCTGATGCAAACAAGATAAAGGTTTCGTGCTGCGTTCTTAGCTGTACCAGGAGTCCTGGGGATGGCTTTCCACCAGTAAATGGTAGTACATTATTTGCTCTCTGGGGCAATAAGAGGTGAACAGTCCTGTAGTCTCTCCTTGGGGGATCTACCCTAAACCCAAGTACCACCTCAGTCCCAGGCAGAGGATCTGCTGTAGGGACTCCTTGGCCCCCTGCCCTCTTCTCCCTCTCCCACTACAGCTGATCCCCGCCACTCACACTATGTGGATGCCTGGGACACCAACAGAGCTGGAGTAGCCAAAGTATTTTTTCAATGAACCTTAAAGAACCTTACAACAGTGTAACTCCATTTACTCGTTCCCTGTCATTTGTGTTGTTCTGGTCATATATTTCCTATTTTCATACATTATAGACCTTATAATACAATGCTATTCTTTTTCCTTGAAGTAGTCATTATCTTCCAAAGGAATCAAAAGAAGAAAAAAAAACATTGTTTTTGATATTTACCTACATTTTGCCATTGCTAATGTTCTTTATTCTTTCTCTTATATCTGAGTTTCCCCTGGTGCCATTTCCCTTTATCTTGAAGAACTGCCTCTAGCATTTTGTGTTGCATGTCTGCTCAGCTTTTGTTTATCTGAAAATGTCTTGATATTGCCTTCGTTTTTGATATGAAAAGAGTGTTTTTCACAGAATATTGAATTTTGAGTTGGCTGCTTTTTTTCTTTCAGTGTGTTAAAGGTGCCATTCCATTGTCTTACGATCTCCATTGTTTTTGATGGCAAGTCAGCTATCATTTGTATCATTGTTCTCTGCATGTAAAGTATTTTTCTCTCTGCTTTCACGTTTTTCTCTTTCTTTGCTTTTCAGTAGTTTGATGATGATGTGCCTAAGTACAGTTTTCTTTGTATGTATTCAGCCATGGGGTTGGCTGAGTTTCTTGAATCTGTAAGTTTATGTCTTCATGAAATTTGGGAAAAATTAGGATGCTACCATAGCATCCATATATTTTCTCTGTCCAACTCTCTTTCTCTTTTTTCTGGGACTCTAACTAAACATATGATAAGCCACTTGATATTGTCTCACAAATTGCTAAGACCATGTTCAATTTTATTTCAATTAACTTTTTTCTCTACAGATTGGATGATTTGATGTGTCTTCCATTTCACTCACCCTTTCTTTTGCTATCTTTAGTGAGATATTAAACCCATTAGTAAATTTTTCATTTTAGATATTTTACTCTTCAATTCTGGAATTTTCTTTGGGCTTGCTTTTATCTTCTTTTCTCCATCTGCTCATCATTATGATCAAGTCCATATGTATTTTATTAGCTTGTTTATAAAGATTTTGTCAACTAATTCCAACATGTGGGTCATTTTGAGATCTGTTCCTATCAACTTTTTTCTTTTGCCAATAATCACATTTTTCTGTTACTTCGTATCTACCCATTTTTAATTGTATACTGATTATTGTGGATAATACATTGTAGATAGACTTTGGATTCTGTATATTTTTCCATGATGAGTGCTGATTTTTGTTGTAATATGAAGTTAAATTACTAGATAATCACCTTGAACTCTTAGAGGCTTGGTTTTGTATTATTAGAGCAGGTCTGTTTCAGTTTTGCCCTTCATCTGAGAGCAAATCCCTAGTCCTGGGACACAATCTTCACTCCTCCAGTGTAGCCCTCCTGAGACCCTAATGGAAGGCCCAAGGGCCCATGAAGCCTCTCTCAGATGGCAGAGCCACGATGGCTTTGCTCACATGTCTGGCAGTTGGTCAGGCTGTCAGCCAGGGCTCCTCAGTTAACCTCCTGTAGACTAGACCAGCTTCCTTGCATGGTGGTCTCAAGACAGTATTCCAAGAGGGTGAAGACAGAAGCTTCAAGGCATCTTAAGGCCTAACCTTGAAAATCATACAATATCCCTTGTGATGGTTAATTTTATGTGTCAACTTGACTGGGCTACAGGATGCCCAGACATTTTGACCAAACATTATTCCGGGTGTGTTTGTGAGGGTATTTTTGGATGATATCAACATTTGGATTGATAGACTGAATAAAGCAGATTGCTCTCTCCAATGTGGATGGGCTCATAAAATCAGTTGAAGGACTGAATAGAACAAAAAGTGTGACCCTCCCACAAGTAAGAGGGAATACCTCCTGCCTGACTACCTTTGAGCTGAGACATTGCCTTTTTCCTGTCTTCAGACTTGAACAGAAACATGACAGACTCGTCCTTCACCTCAGGCCTTTGGATACCTGCGTCTCCAGCTTGCCAACTGTGAGTCTTGGGACTTGTCAGTCTCTGTAATTGCATAAACCAACTATATACATACACACACACACACACACACACACACATATAAATATATGTATGTATGTATGTATGTATATAGAGAATATATATAATTAATTATATTACCCAATTAATATTAATTATATATATCACATACACACATATACAGATACTCCTTAACTTACAATGAAGCTACATCCTGATAAACTCATTGTAAGTAGAAAATATCATACCCCTATAAACCCATTGCAATGTCAAAAAATTGAAAGTCAAGCCATCATTAAGTCCAGATGCTCCTTGACTCACAATGGGGTTATATCCCGTCATAAAGTCAAACCATCATAAATAGAATACCATCCCTCTGTGTCTGTGTATGTCTATGTGTGTGTGTCTGTGTGTGTGTGTCCATCATAAATAAGGGAACATCAGCGTGTGTGTGTGTCTGTCTGTCATAAATAGGGGACCATCTGCGTGTGTGTGTGTCCATCATAAATAGGGGACTATCCGTGTGTGTGTGTGTGTGTGTGTGTGTGTGTGTGTGTGTGTGTAGTCTTCTGTTGGTTCTGTTTCTCTGGAGAATCCTGACTAATGCATCCCTTCTGCCATAATCTGTTATTCACTAGTCACAAAATAGACTTTATCTCTGAATGAAAGGAGTTAAAAAGTCACATTGCAAAGGGATGTGCATACAGGGCAAACAGGATTTTGTGGCCATCAAACAATCTACCATAGCACCCTGATACAGTTTGGATATGTGCCCCCGCCCAAATCTCATGTTGAATTGTAATCCCCAGTATTGGAGGTGGGGCTTGGTGGAAGGTAATTGCATCACGGGAGTGGAGCAAAGATGGTCCTCTTGCTCTCTCTCTCTCTTGCTCCTGCTCTGGTCATGTGATATGCCTGCTCCCTCTTCACACTCTGGCATGATGGTAAGTTTCCTGAGGCCTCTCCAGAAGCTGAGCAGATACCAGCATCATGCTTCCTGTACAGCCTGCAGAGCCATGAACAAGCCTCTTTATAAATTACCCACTCTCAGTTCTTTCTTTCTTTCTTTGTTTCCTTTTTTTTTTTTTTTTTTTTTTTTGAGATGGAGTTTCACTCTGTCACCCAGGCTGGAGTGCACGGTGCGATCTCAGCTCACTGCAACCTCCGTCTCCCCAGATTCAAGCGATTCTCCTGCCTCAGCTTCCCGAGTAGCTGGGATTACAGGCACCTGCTACTGCCCCTGGCTAATTTTTGCATTATTATTAGAGACGGGGTTTCACAATCTTGGCCAGGCTGGTCTTGAACTCCTGACCTCATGATCCACCCGCCTCAGCCTCCCAAAGTGCTGTGATTACACTCGGCCTCTCAGGTATTTCTTTACAGCAATGCAAGAATGAATGAATACATACCCTTTATTATCCTTAAAATGAAAACATGGAAAATAGAGCTAACCTAAATGTAAATGCTTAAAAACATAAAAGCATTCACTAACCATAATATAAAAGAGGTATGGAAGGTAAATCATTTATAATAAAACAATATGTATTTCAATATGTAAATGCTTCGGCATAATCGCACTAGAAGACATCATGAAGTAATCAGCCTCTTATATTTATATGCAGAGTGACACACACAGCGTGACACAGGAATGTTATCCTGGTGACTCATATTATGAACATCATTATCTTCAGTAATGATCTCCAAAATGGTGAAGAGCTATTGGTAATGTTCAGAACAAAACAAAATATAAAATTCCCTTGATTTATACCACAGCTGTATTCCTCCACTATTCAGTATGGGTTAAAAACGGTGCCAAAAAGTTCTTATGCTCTAGTTTCAGATAAGCATGAACAAGAATACACCAACAAGAATATCTGGCTGGACATTTGAAATCCAGCAGGACAAGGGATAATTTGTTGAGAACATTTCAGGAAACCAGGCACCCCACCATCTTTGGTTTAACCAAAGCCACACTCTAAAGTTTGAGTTGTTCCCTAGGGGGCCATACCACCAGTTGAGAATCATCAGATGGGGGGCTGTTATAACAGAGATATAGACCTATGTAGATATATAATGCATGATCACTTCCCCCCAGTGCATCAGCAGAGAAAAAGCACCACCCAAGAGAACCACCAGTGAGGTTCCAGAGAGAAAAGGAAGTACAACAGAGGAGGCGCTCAGGAGAAGACTAATGAAAGAAGCAGATAGAGTTCCCAGCAGACACACGACGTGAATGGCCCAGTGTTTCTGACTCACATCAGAATAACGCAAGACTCAGTCTTATGGCCCCTCAGGGAGAGGGCAGGCCAGGCAACCCACCCTACCGAGGGCTTGCAGATCCAGTCCTTGAGGGCATGAGGATAGGAAGCTGGCAGTTCCCTGCCCAACTCCAAGATTTTGGAGCTAACTTGGGGGAAATTGCTTCTGTTGGACTTTAAAGATGAACAAATTTAGTGCCTTTGTGGAGAGATTCTGGGCCAAGGAATACCACAAGATTTAGTATTTTAAAGCTGCACCCGCCACCGCGAGTTTTACATGAGGAAGGAGGGAAGGTCACAGCTCGATGTGATGGCTGTGCATGACGTGATCGGGTCTCCAGAGGCAAAGGGATTCAGCCGAGGGCCTGTCTGTGTGTGCATGTGGTATGTGCAGTTAGAGTGTGATCTATGGGTTGCCGAGCCATTTCTGTTAATTAAACACTTCAATATAATTTTGAGGTAAGAGCCCTTGGCCTGTATTTCAGACAGTCCCTGGAGGACTGGGGAAGTGGGAGAATATGCCATCTGGCAAAGCACCATGAAATTGAATCACCTGGGGGAATTCAAAGAAAACTGCACTAACCATGGAGGGATAGATAGATGGACAAATCAACCCACAGGCTCTCTATTCACTTTATCAAAGATCAAGGGTAGGAGTAGGTTTCCTTTTCCCCCACCAATGGCCAACCCGCCCATCCAGCCTCCGGCCACATTGGGATCC
Source organism: Homo sapiens (assembly GCF_000001405.40). Taxonomy (NCBI): domain Eukaryota; kingdom Metazoa; phylum Chordata; class Mammalia; order Primates; family Hominidae; genus Homo; species Homo sapiens. The sequence continues at coordinate 6,382,586 of NC_000017.11, forward strand.
CCCAGAAGCCACCAGGCCCTGCTCCCTGCAGCCGCAAAGCACAGACAATGGCAGCCTTCCCTCTTGTGCCCCCTGCTCACCCCGGAGCCAGGCTCCTCTGACTTCCCCTCCAAATCCAACCCTCTTATTCCTCAGATCGTGCGTACGTAGGGCCACGAAAGTGCACGTTAACTCAAGGCCAGGCATCTTTGGAAGGAAATCAATACATAATTATGTGTTCTGTCTGCCACATGGCCCAGAGCCAGGCTGATTGGGAATTAGAGAAAGTGAAAACAGAGTGGTCAAGGCCAGCCCAGCATCTAGATATGCCCTGTCAGGGTGGAAGAAGCGGAGGCCGAGGACCCACCACCAGGCCTCCGTGTGGATCTCACAGCCTTTTCCACTTGAAGCATCGCATCCTGGGACCAGTTCAAGCAGGCAGACTCAGGGGCACTGGCTCCTTTGCTTTTCTGATTCCTTGCTGCATCCACAGGGGGCTGGACTCTGCAGCAGCCTCCTCACCTGCCTCCCTGTCTCCCTTCTATCCCCCTCTAATCTACCCAGCTTGAGCACCAGCAACCCAGATGATCTTCCTAAGGTGCAAATACAACCACGTCATTTGTCTGCATAAAGGCATTCTCAGGTAGCAGCATGGGGTTGACAGCATCTAATATGAAGTTAGAAAGACCCAGGTTTGAGTATTGCCTGAGGCACTGAAAGACGCTGATCAAGCCATTGTATCCCTCTGTAACATGGAGGAAATAAGAGTATCAACTTTACAGAGTTGCTTGTGAGGATTCTAGAAAATGATATGGGCCAAACCTGGCACACCGTAGGCACCATGTAAGTAATAGCCATCATCATTATCATCATCATCAACATCATTATCATCATCATCAACATCATTATCATCATCATCAACATCATTATCATCATCTTTTTTTTATGGCTTTCTCCCTGGAGATAATGTCTTCGTCCTCTCCAGGCCTCCTTCCACACATTTTCATTACAACACTTAGGATTTGGAAGCTTCCGTCCTCTTTCCTCCACTTGTAGGAGGATCCAGGCTTCACAGGCAGAGGACCTGGGGGCAAGTCATGTCCCAGTGGATGAAGCCATGTTCTTCTGGGGCTTCCCTGTGATGATGGCATATGCCTGTGAGATGGAGGAGCCTCAGCTGCAGCTGGCCCACAACTCAGGCCGTGCAAAAACCTGAGCTCAGTCCGGGGTTTGCCTTTGGACCTGGACCTTTGTCTTGGGCCAGGGCCAGAGCTCATTCCGGAAATAGGGTCAGAACTCAGCCCACCCCTAGGATCAGCCCTCAGCCTATAGCCAGAATCTGGGCTCACACTGGGGCCACAGTGGAGACTCAGTTCAAGGGCAGACAGCAGAGTTTCTTGATGTGAAGTTTAAAGATTTCCATGAACATAACCCATGGCTGAAGCATTGTGGGCATCCAGCTCTCAGCATGCTGTGGCTGAAATGCATCATTCCCCTTCATGATGTGAAGGCACCTTCCTGCCCACATGCAACATGAATGTAGACATTTTTAAGAACAAAAAGACTGACGTTAGCAATTTGTCTTCTGCAAACAGCAGATCTGCCAAAACCACTCTGCCACTTGATGCCAAAAAGACACCCGCTACAGCCATATCTTTGTGTCTTGTGATACCAGACAGGCAGAAAAAAAAGCAAAAATAAATGTCCCTTGAATATTTCCAAAGATCCAGGTTTGGGCCCTCTGTCTCTAGCACCCCTACCCTGGCCAGAAGGGGAGACCCTGGGACAGAGGACCACAGTGGGTGTTTCTCATGGCTGTGGCACAGATACTGGGAGGCAGGCACCGAGAGCAGAAGGAGTGAGTCAAGCATGGATCAGAGAGCAGAGGAGAGCAGCCCAAGGATCCAGGGGTTGGAATGGGCCTGGAGAGGAGGTGGCAGGAAGGGAGTCAGCAGCGGCGGCCAGGGCTTCTGCTTCAGTGGCAACCAGTGCCCCATGCACTTTGCCAGGGACAAGAACCAGGACAGAAGGAGCAGTGGACAGAGCCCGGAGGGAAGCTGGTCCCCTCTTCCTCCGGGCAAGGGATGTGCAGGGGCTGCATCAGCCCTCCCCACTCCATGGCTCCAGATGCCCCTTCCTCCCTCCACATCCCACATCCTCTCCTCTGTGGGGAAAGCAGCCCTGCCTAGAGGCAGCCTTCTCCACTTCTCTCTCCAAGCCTTGATTTCTCCTGCACTCTGTAGACTCGAGTCTCTGTTTCACCCCCAATTCTTTTACTGAGATGGTTCCAGAAGGCAAATTCCTCCACAGCATTAAAAAATAATTTATAGAAATAATGTTCCTTTAATAAAAGCCACATAGAGTTATACAATTTTTATAGTGCACGACCGAACAAGAAAGGTCTGAACTCTTGTATAAAAATGAATCTGTCCCGCTCCCATGCTCAGAATGATACCACCTCCTTGGGCTAACATAATATATTGGCTTGGAAAGTTTAACTTTCAGTGTCATTGGGCCGAGCTGGCCACTCATTCTGCTCCAAAGAGCTCCTCCAAAGACAAACTCTTCCAGTGTGGCTCATAAATATGAGGGCAGGAAAAACAAACTTGCTTCTGCTTCTCTCTCTCTCTCTCTCTCTCTCTCTGTCTATATATATATATATATATATATATATATATATATATATATGTATAATATAGGCAGTTAGTGGCTAAATTGTATTGTAATTGATTGCAAAATTGCTTTTTTAATGAGATTTAGACACGAGGAAATAGCTTTTTTTTCTGTAACATACCCAAAGTGAACTTGGTCACTTTGACAACAAATTGTCTCTGTGGCTTTTTCCTAGTCATGTATAATTTGGATATTAGTCATGTATAAATTGGATATTAGAGAAGAGGATTATGGGCTGCCTTGGAAAGAGACAGCTCAAGCCAGCAGTTCATCCCCACTCCCAGCAGGGTCGGTGACCTGGCAGCCCCTTCTTCCCAGAATGCTCCAGAACACTTTCATCCCCCTTCCTGTTCCACCCAAGGCTGCACTGTCAGAGCACCACCTCTTTTTTTTTTTTTTTTTTTTTTTTGAGACAGGGTCTCACTCTGTTGCCCAGGCTGGAGTGCAATGGCATGATCTCAGCTCACTACAACCTCTGCCTCCTGAGTTCAAGCAATTCTCCTGCCTTAGCCTCCTGAGTAGCTGGGATTACAGGCACGCGCCATCATACCTGGCTAATTTTTGTATTTTTAGTAGAGACAGGGTTTCACCAAGTTGGTCAGGCTGGTTTCAAACTCCTGACCTAGTAATCCACCCGCCTAGGCCTCCCAAAGTGCTGGGATCACAGGCGTGAGCCACCGCGCCCGGCCCAGAGCACCACCTTCTGCAGTCCAGGATGCTCCTCCATCTCAGTCCACCTTACTATGTGCCTCTACCCTGGAGGGAAATAAGAGATCCCCTTAGAACATGTGCCAGAGGGACCCACTCAGCTGGCAGGACCCAGTCAGAACCTCAAGCGCTTCAGAATCTAGTAAGGGAAGTCTGCATATCTTGTTGCTGAAGACACAGGTACCGTTTGTGCCCTCCTAGATCCCCTTCAAAGCCAGTGCTGTGAATATTGGATGCTAATGGCTCACAGCACCCCCTTCTCCAGAGCAGCCTGTTTTTGTAAATAAAGTTTTATTGGAACACAGCCACGCCCGTTCATTTAATTGTCTGTGACTGAGTTCGCAGTACAATGGTAGAGTCGAGTCATTGCAACAGAAACCATATGGCCCACAAAGCATAACATATACACTACCTGGCCCTTAACAGAAGAAGTTTGCTCTAGAGAATGAGCTTCTGCCAATGCACCTGCGCGTAAAAGTCATGCTGCCCACAGCCCACTGCATGACTAACTCAGGGATCTGAAAAGCCCACCTGCTTGTCTCAAGGTGAGACCAGCTGTGCACTGTGGTTCACACTCCAGAGCGCCCCACAGGGTCAGGCTGAGGTTAGAGCCAGCTGAGAGCCCCTGTCTGCCTGGCTCCTGCCCCTGCCCTCTCTCATCATCCTTGTTTCCCTTCTTCTCTGAGGACTTCCACGATAAATTACATGCCCCAGAACGCCCGTCCTGGGTTGTTTCTAAGGATCCTGACTTGTAAAAACTAAGTCACTAGAACTTTTTTTTCCCCACAACCTCTTGCATAGAAACCCAGGTTTTCAAACAGATGGAACGGAGTGGTGGGGAACCCCGGTTACTCAGTGTCGCCTTCCTCTTCAGCAGCCCCTGGAACGCCTCCTCAGAATTCCAAGAGCCTCAAAACACCATTGGTAAACTGTTGCCTGGGGTGTGTGCTCTCCCACCCTGGCTGGGAAACTTCCCTGACTTCCTATTCCTAGAGATCACTCTCTCACCCAGAACCCGAAGCATGGCCTGGCCCCCAGGCACTTGTCCCCATCTGCTGGCTCTCATGGTGGCTTGTGCCTGGCCTTCCTTTTTTTTTTTTTTTTTTTTTTTTTAAGATGGAGACTCGCTCTGTCACCCAGGCTGCAGTGCAGCCCTGCGATCCGGCTCACTGCAACCTCCGCCTCCCAGGTTCAAGCGATTCTCCTGCCTCAGTCTCCCGAGTAACTGGGATTACAGGCATGCACCACCACGCTCAGCTAATTTTTTGTATTTTTGGTAGAGACAGGGTTTCACCGTATTAGTCAGGATGGTCTTGATGTCCTGACCTCATGATCCACCCACCTCGGCCTCCCAAAGTGCTAGGATTACAGGCATGAGCCACCATGCCTGGCCCCTGCCTGGCCTTCTCTCTCTGCCACAATGTGAACTCCTCTGTGACCCATTCATCTTCTTCTCACCCAGAAAACTCACCATTCATTCATTCAATGTAACAGTTCTGGTTGGCACACCACAACATGCCCTATGCTTGGCACTGGGACTCCAGAGATGAATAAGTCAGGATTCCTACCCCAACGAGTTCACAGGGTGAGAGAGAGGAGGAAGAAACAGGCACGCCAATGGACAAGGAGGCCAGGCAGTCAGAAAGTCAGAAGAGCCTTTGCAGAAGAAGGAACATTTGTACTGGGCTTTGAAGGATGAGTAGGAGTTCACAGGGAGTGAAGCCAAGGAGCTCAGCACTCTCTGCTTGCATCGGGTGTTCTTCAATGCTTGTGGGGTGAATCCACAGTGAGGTGACCATGGTGGGACCAGGCCACAGCCAGAGGGAGCCTGGCCAAGTCTGGGACTGAGTCTTCATTCCTTGCTCACCTCTCTGGGTGACTTCGGGTAAGTTCAGAGGGGCCAGGACCCAACCACAGGGCCAGATACACCTTCCCGGGAAGTGTTGCTTCATCCGAGACTTAAAGGACAAGGACACATAAAGCAAAAAAAGAGGCAGGAAATGGACATTCTAAGAGGAAAGAACAGTCGGTATCAAGTCCTGCAGGGAGGAGTGGAGAGCAAGAGTTGTGACAGTCACAAGCAACCGAGGGGATTCACACGAGGGTGGAGCAGAGTGAGAAGGGGGATGTGGGAGAGAAGGGCGGAGTCCCTGGGTCCCTGAGCCAGAGGAGGAAGCTCCATCATCTCTGTTGGGAAGGTCTTTAAAGCGGACGTAACATGAGCAGGTGTGCATCTAGAAATGACATTGCTCTGGTTTCTAGAAAGAGAAGAGATTTAGGGAAGCCATTGATGGCCTCCAGTGAGAACAGGCAGAAAGGTTTGCAGCAAGTCCAGACAGGAAGCAATGACAGCCGGGACAAGGTGGACAGAAATGGGCAGATCCAAGAGCAATTTGGGAGGTAAAATGGATGGGACAGGAGCTAAAATGGACAGGATGCGGTTGGATATGGCAGATGAAAAGGAAGGGGTCAGGGTGTATCTTCCTTGGGTCTCTGGAGGATCACTAGCATCGCTGACTAAGGCAGAGTCAGTGGTGCCTCCCAGGGCCTCAGTTTTCCCTTCTGTACACCGAGAGGCTGGCGCAATGCTCTCCCAGGGCCCCTCCGGCACAGGCATCCTGATGAGCAATTCATCACGGTGCCAAGCACTTCAGAGGCGGAGGTCACGTAATCCTCACAGCAATCCCAGAAGTCAGATCTGTTATTATGACCATTTCGGAGGACTCGGGCTCAGAAAAATGAAGAAATTTGCCCAAGATCCCCCAGCTAGTAAGTGGGAGGCTGAAACCTGGGTCATGTGAATCCAGAGTACATGTCCTCACCCTCCTCGCCACAGCATCCTGCGTTCTGTTCCAGATCTCAGGAGATGCTGCTGTTCACCTTTCTTGTCCCTGGGTTGCTATGTAACCCTTGTTTCTCCATCTGCCCTTATCCTTTCAAGGACTCTCCCCACAACAGTTGAGGCAAGTAAAGTTTGTATCTGCCACTTGAAGTCCCTGACGTTCCTGTTCCAATGACCTTAGGGAATCAGCTCTGCAGAGATTCTAACGTAGACTCATCAAGAAATCTAGAAACCACCACCAGCACCAATTCAACAGTACAGAGCACCTGCATATCTCCATACTGGCTTGTGTATCAGTTAGGGTGATACCAGTGACTGCTGAATAAGGATGCACACTTTAAGGTTTTAGTGCAGTAGAAGATTATCTCTCATTCAGCATGGGTGTTCCTAGGTGGTGGACAACTTCTCTCCACATAAAGATTCAGAGATCCAGGTTCCTTCCATACAATGTCTCCACCATCCTCTAGGAAAGGGCTTGGTAACTTTTTTTTTTTTTTTTTTTGAGATGGAGTCTCGCTCTGTTGCCCAGACTGGAATACAGTGGCGTGATCTCAGCTCGCTGCAAGCTCCGCCTCCGGGGTTCACACCATTCTCCTGCCTCAGCCTCCGGAGTAGCTGGGATTATAGGCGCCCGCCACCACGCCCGGCTAATTTTTTGTATTTTTACTAGAGACAGGGTTTCACCATGTTAGCCAGGATGGTCTCTATCTCCTGACCTCATGATCCACCCGCCTTGGCCTCCCAAAGTGCTAGGATTACAGGCGTGAGCCACCGTGCCCAGACTTTTTTTTTTTTTTTTTTTTTGAAATGGAGTTTCGTTCTTGTTGCCCAGGCTGGAGTGTAATGGTGCAGTCTTGGCTCCCTGCAACCTCCTCCTCCTGGGTTCAAGCAATTCTCCTGCCTCAGCCTCCCAAGTAGCTGGGATTACAGGCATGCGCCACCACACCCAGCTAAATAGTTTTGTATTTTTAGTAGACCCAGGGTTTCACCATATCAGCCCAGCTGGTCTTGAACTCCTGACCTCAGGTGATCTGCCCGCCTCAGCATCCCAAAGTGCTGGGATTACAGGCGTGAGCCACCGAGCCCGGCCAAGGCAAACTCTTTTGTAAAGGTCCAGATAGTAAATATTTTAGGCTTTGTGGGCCAGATCACATCTGTCACAACTACTCAACTCTGCTCTTGCAGGGCCAAAGCAGCCAGATTATACGTTAAACGAATGGGCGTGGCAATGTTTCAATAAAACTTTATTTATAAAAAAACAAGCAATAAATAGACACAGCTCTATGTTCCAAGAAAACTTTTTTACAAAAGCAAGCAGCAAACCCAATTTGGCCCATGGGCTGTCTTTTGCTTCTGCCAACTGGCAAAGGAGATCAGGAGGGGGTGGAAGACACCCACTTAAACTCCTTCACCCAGAGTGTCACACAGCACTTCCACATATGTTTGCATGTTGCTATCTAGATGAGAAGCGTAGTCTCTGACTGGGCATCACTTTCTAGCAGCAGACCTACGCTGTGGGCGGACAACGTGGATCTTTGGGGATCAGATGGCCAGCTACCTCTGGGAATTTAGGTCCAACTAACACCTAGTGAGCGTCTCCTGTGTGTGGCAGCTTCTGTGCTCTTTCTGGGCACACAGGGGTTCAAAAGATGCTCCAGCCCTAGGGGGATCAGAGTCTAGTTTAAATTGAAAAAGAGAAAGATCTTATTCCTAAGATTTCAGCTCTTTTTCTGAGGCTTTTACCTTTCAAACAAGTACCCAAAAATACCAGGCTGATTACAGGTGGCTCATATCTATAATCAGGTGTAGGAGGATCACTTGAGGCCAGGAGTTGACGACCAGTCTGGGCAATGCAGCAAGACCTCACCCCTACCCCTGTCACCATACAAAAAAATTAAAAATTAGCCGAGCATGATGGCATGTAACTGTAGTCCCAGCTACTTGGGAGGCTGAGGTGGGAGGATCTCCTGAGTCCAATAGTTTGAGGCTGCAGTAAGCTATGATTGGGCCACTTGTACTCCAGCCTCAGTGACAGAGCAAGACCCCATCTCTTAAAAAAAAAAGAAGAGGCAGAGAACTGGTAGAGACTTCTTCACAGGGCAGGGGCCATTCTGTTTTATATACCATTGAATCCTAGAGCTCAGTATAGGGCCAGGCATACAGAGGGGTCCTGGTATTTGCTGAATGAATGAATGAATGAAATTGTGACTCATCTACAAAGCTAGAACCTTGGGGGTTAGTGCAGGACACTTTCCATAGTTGTTGGGTTTAGAATCTAAACCAGGGAATCTGTCTTAGATCTGTGCAATGTCAAAATATCAAAGGAGGATTATTTGTATCTAAACAGAAGAGCAAAAACTTAGATTCATCATGTAGACATTTGGTCTGTAAGAGGAATTCTGGTCCAGAAGACCTAACTCTAAGGATCTGTGACAGTAATAGCCACAGCATAATATTATACAACTTTTTTTTTTTTTTGAGACGGAATCTCACTCTATTGTCCAGGCTAGAGTGCAGTGACGTGATCTCAGCTCACTGCAACCTCCGCCTCCCGGGTTCAAGCAATTCTCCTGCCTCAACCTCCCAAATAGATGGGATTACAGGTGTCTGCCACCACGCCCAGCTAATTTTTTTTTTTTTTTGTATTTTTAGTAGAGACAGGGTTTCACCATGTTGGTCAAGCTGGTCTCGAACTCTGACTTCAGGTGATCCGCCCGCCTCGGCCTCCCAAAGTGCTGGGATTACCCGCGTGAGCCACCGCGCCCAGCCTTAATACTATACAATTCTTTGCAGCTTCTAAGGTGAACCTATACCCATGTGCTGATGTGAAACCTCATGCACGACCTTAGGTGGACAAGATAAGCTCCACTCTTCCCCTTTTACAGAAGAGAATACTGAAGCCCTGAGAGATGCAGTGGATCCCTCAAGGAAACTCAACTAGAAGGTCCTTGAACCAGGCCTAGAGGCCACGACTGATCTTGAATCAAGGAGGTCCTTTCCCTTCTCCTCGCCTGTAGCTCTGGCTTGAGAACAAAGTAGCCACTAAGTATGGGTTTCTAGAATGTAGCTCATGTTTAAAACTTTTTTTTTTCTTTTTGAGACGGAGTCTCCCTCTGTCGCCCAGGCTGGAGTGCAGTGGCACGATCTCGGCTCACTGCAACCTCCGCCTCCGGGGTTCACGCCATTCTCCTGCCTCAGCCTCCTGAATAGCTGGGACTACAGGCACCGGCCACCACGCCTGGCTAATTTTTTGTATTTTTAGTATGGACGGGGTTTCACCGTGTTAGCCAGGATGGTCTCGATCTCCTGACCTCGTCATCCGCCCGCCTCAGCCTCCCAAAGTGCTGGGATTACAGGCATGAGTGACCGTGCCCAGCCCTTTTTTTCTTTTTCTTTTTCTTTTTCTTTTTTTTTTTTTTTTTTTTTTTTTGAGATGGAGTCTTGCTCTATCCCCCAGGCTGGAGTGCAGTGGCGTGATCTCGGCTCACTGCAAGCTCCGCCTCCCGGTTTCACGCCATTCTCCTGCCTCAGCCTCCTGAGTAGCTGGGACTGGAGGCGCCCGCCACCACGCCCGGGTAATTTTTTGTATTTTTGGTAGAGACAGGGTTTCACCATGTTAGCCAGGATGGTCTCGATCGTGTTTAAAATTTTTATACCAACTGGCATCTCCCCTGAAAAGCATTGGTCCAAGGCATGTGTGTATTTCAAATAAAAGGAGTTCCAATTTTGTAAACTTTATGAAATGAAACACCCTGAAGCATGTCTCACAAATGAGATTGAATTTACACAAAATCAAGAGACGGGGCTGGGAGACATTCTCTTATACTCTGACCTCTGGCAAGCCACTTCCTCACTGAGGAGTTTATTCTCAGCTGTTACAAGGGGGTGGGAGCCGATGCTCTCTGGAGTCTTTCTCAACTCAAAGAAAAATGCTATAATCAATTATCTCTGGGCATTCGGCCAACATTTTCACATTCTCTCAATAACCCATTCTGTAGGCTTCAAGGGAAGGCAAAGGTATTTGCGGTTCACTCAAAGGAGGCTGGGGTATTTCCCTCCAGGCCATGCAGGTGACCTCTGGACCTGACTGTCCAGCCAGATAGAGCTGGGGGCATGGGGGAGTTGGGTTGGTTGCTGCTGAGTTTTGCAGCTAGGTTGGTTGCTGTGAGCCAGAACATGGTGTAGACGCCTCAGACCCACATTCACAAGCTGCTATTCCCAAACTATCACTTTGCAAGGACTCTGACCCTGGACAATATCCCTTTCTCTTCATCTTCAGAAAGTGGTAATTATTGTGATTATGAGCTATTAATGTAATCATAACTAGCAGGCAATGGAGTGGCCCAGGCAGTACCTTGGGCCTCTGCCGTCACGCAGGGAGGGAAGCTGGGTAGCCAGTTCCCCACGAGCGCAGAGAGCTGCACCTCTAGCTCACCCAGAATCTGCCCCAGCAGGTAGTGCTTCGAGTACGTCCTCTGCAGAGCCACCTGGCTAAGAGGGGAGAAAAGAAATCCGGCCGGAAGTCAGGCTGGTGGGAATTTCCAAACGAGAGCCCATGTGTTGGGAAGGACGCGATGGACAGAACTTCTCAGGGGTTTGTTCTGAATAGTACTGAGTGGCATGCCAAAGTCAAGATTTTTATTTCTTATTTTTCAAAAGCCGCATTGATGGGAACAAGCTCACAATACAAACAGTGGTGATTGCAATCACTTGCCGTTCCCATGGCAACAGACAAGATTAAAAGAGCAAACAACGAAGCTGGAACTCTCTTCAGACTAAATGCTCCCGATTTTAATTGCCAGGCAGCACGCTGACACATGGAGTCCCCGGCTCGCGGTTTAACAGGATCCAAACCTCTCCTCAGTTTCTAACTGGAGGCCATCTGGGCTGACCACCCACACCCTCACTCCTCCCACCCAGAGCATGAAGCACAAGAAAGCATCAGGTTGCTCCTTGAATACCTCCAGCGACGGGGAGCTCATTCCAGCCGGCTGGACGTGAGGGCTCAGTAATGGGGCAGTCTTAGCATTCAGAGGAGAAAACCATGAGGGCGTGGGTTCAGGCTGCTAAAATAAGAACCAAAAGGCAAAGGTTGATAATAGCATTAATTTTAATCAAATCCATCATTTATGGAGGCATGGTTCTCAGTGTTCTACCCTTGACCACAGGAAGACAGCACCGATGACTTACCTTCAGCAGAGAATTCCTATGTGTCACACACACAGCACTAGTCAATCTTTATGTATGACCTCACCTAACCCTCTCAACAGCCTGCAGCAAACGTTATTATAATTCCGATTTTGCAGATGAGGGGGCTGCAGCTTGGAGAGATCAAAGCCAAGGTCACATAACCAGCGGTGGCAGAACCACAACAGAAACTCAGACCCATTTGACATCAGAGCCCAGGCTTTTGCTACCATTTTGCCCCTGGAGGAAGGAATCCGCTGGATTTGGAGACAGCTGCCTGGCAGGGGCAGGCAGTGGTGAGAAGGTGATGTCTCGGGGACCCCCGGTGGCATTGCCAAGCTGTTCTCTCTGAGCCTCCCCTAAAGGAAACTCCAGTCTTAGGGCTGCAAGCTCAGCTCCCCTCTCTGCCTGTGGCATCTGCAGGATGGCATTGTTACTATTGCCTTCTTGAGATTTTTCTTGTTTCCAAGGCTCCAGCTTTGCCAGCTTGATCTTCCTTCTCCCCCTGAGCCATGAGTTCCCTCTTCTCACAGCTGCCAGGCGTTTGATCAGCCTGACTCAAGCAATCTGTGCAGGTCCGGGGAGAAGCAGACCTTTGGAAAAGCAACACTGAAATAAAACAATCATGAATTCACAAAGAAAATGACGATTACATAAACCACCTGGAGCATCTGGTCTTTCTCCCCAGATAAACAAGGTCTGTCCCCAAACTCCAATCAGTCACCATTTGCCTCTCAACTATTTACCGTGCACCTACTATGAGCCAGGCATTGTGTGAGGACTGGAGATTCAAACTGGATGAGATCTGGATTGTCCAGAGGGAGATCCGCATGAGGAGAGCGGGCAGGAGTGGCCATCAGCAATCACAAAGCAAGGTAAACAGTGGCAAACGCTACAAGAGCAGAGGGGGGCATCACTGCTGATGTTGAGAGACAAGGAAGGTGGCTCTCCTCTTGGAGATCGTGGAAGGCTTCTTGTAGGAGAGGGCCTTCTCAGTCACTCACTCCGTCACCAAGGCGATATTGACTAAGTCCCCACAGGCACTCTGCTAGGGGCTGTGGATCTGAGGATGAACAAAACATGGTCCCTGCAGGCTGGAACTTATTGTCTGGTGGAGAAGACAGTCATCTATTAAACCTAGCAAAAAGCACACTAAAGGACAAAAAGAGGGCTCTACGGTAAAGTAAAGTAAAGCAAACAATCATGTCTTGAGGGTTCAGGGGAACTCCCTAAGAAGAGTAGCACTGGGGCTGGGATGGGGATGCTGAGGAGGCACTAGAGGGATGAAGCTGATCAGTGGGGTCACACTGGGAACCGATGGCACAAGCCAATGGGATAATGTGGGAGGACCTGGTGAGAGCGCTGTTTACACAGATGTGGGAAGAGTCAAAAGAAATCAAAATAGTATTGGTATACTATAAAACATGCTGCTATAAAGACACATGCACACATATGTTTATTGTGGCACTATTCACAATAGCAAAGACTTGGAACCAACCCAAATGTCCAACAATGATAGATTGGATTAAGAAAATGTGGCACATACACCATGGAATACTATGCAGCCGTAAAAAAGGATGAGTTCATGTCCTTTGTAGGGACATGGATGAAGCTGGAAACCATCATTCTCAGTAAACTATCACAAGAACAAAAAACCAAACACCGCGTGTTCTTACTCATAGGTGGGAATTGAACAATGAGAACACATGGACAAAGGAAGGGGAACATCACACACCGGGGCCTGTTGTGGGGTGGGGGGAGGGGGGAGGGATAGCATTAGGAGATATACCTAATGTTAAATGACAAGTTAATGGGTGTAGCACACCAACATGGCACATGTATACCTATGTAACAAACCTGCATGTTGTGCACATGTACCCTAAAACTTAAAGTATAATAATAAAAAAAAAAGAAATCAAGACGGGATAGTGTTGTCCCCTGGGGTTTGTAACAATAAGGAGCCCCTCCTATCCCTACACCGAGAGGAGAGAGCCTTCGAAGGGAACTGCAGGGAGAGTGGGCTGCTCAGCTGGGACCAAGACACACAACCTGCCCAAGGCGGCCAGCAGGGGAGAAGCTGGGGAAGCAAACCCTGACCACGCTATTTTCCCACCATTTGATCGCCTGCCAAGGCCTGCCTCTGGCCAAACCCAACTGGAAGCCAGAAAGCATAGGATCCTCTTGATTAGGCTCACAGAGTCAACCTCCCAAGGGGCGGAGGGAAGTGGACAAGAATGGAGGGGCCCATGGATGCATCCAGCCCAAGGGAGGAGTATGCACAGCCACAGCGACCAGATGCAACAATCTCTGCTCCTCCCCAAAACCCCGTTAACATGACTGGGCAGAGAAGGAAGAAGGAGAAAGGAGCAGCTGAGAGAGTACGGCAAATGTGAGACAGGCGGGACGGTGGTAACTGGCCCAGGAAATAAGAGAGAGCTGAAGCCTCAGTTGCTGCAGAGGGAAGATCGATGACAAGCAAATGTTAGCTCCGCCGTGCCCCAGGAAGTTTCAGGAATTAGGGACACCCGGTAACGTTGAGGGTGGTGGCTCAGACCAAGGCTGAAGAAAGGCATTGGTGTCTCCCAGGTCTCGTCCTTCATCCCCAGCAGTTAGGGGCCTCGCTTGCCCTCCCTGCAAGGTAGAAGCAATTGATTAGGGAATTGGACCAGGAGAGCTCCTGACTCAGGGATACGGGCATGTCAGAGGGCCAGTGTGAGGAACACTGCATCCTAAAGGCTAAGTTCTCCAGCTCCATCTGCTTGCTTGTTTGCCAACCAAACACATATCTCCAAACAGGATACTGGATTATTCGTTTCTGGTAAAATAAAAGACCCATGAGAAAACCCCTACCAGATGCTGAAGTTGAAAGCCCCCAGATGGCTGGGCCCCTGCTCCTTTATTCTATAGTAAAGCCCCTCCCCCACCGACAAGCCTAGCCCACCTGCAGAGAGGCCAACCAACCTTTTAGTGTCTCGCTCTTAAATATGCTTGGGTCGGTGAGAATCTCTAGATATTTGGGGAAATTTTTCAATATAAGACACCAAAACAGACATAGATAGAAAAAGGACCTCTGCTGAAATAGAACCAATACAGGAAGCAAAAGGAAAACTTCAAAGACCTTATAATTAATATCCTCAGGGAGATAAAGATATTGTTCCCATGAAACAAGAACAAGATCTTATAAGACGGAGGTAATCAGAAAATAAGAGCTCTTAGAAATTAAAAATACAAGACCGGGTGCGGTGGCTCACACATGTAACCCCAGCACTTTGGGAGGCCGAGGCAGGCGGATCACCTGAGGTCAGGAGTTCAAGACCAGCCTGGCCAACATGGCGAAATCCCGTCTCTACTAAAAATACAAAAGTTAGCCGGGCATGGTGGCGTGTGCTTGTAATCCCAGCTACTCAGGTGGCTGAGGCAGGAGAATTGCTTGAACCCAGGAGGCAGAGGTTGCAGTGAGCTGAGATCGTGCCACTGCACTCCAGCCTGGGCAACAGAAGGAAATTCTGTCTCAAAAAAAATAAAAAGAAATTAAATATACAGTATCAGTAATATGAAAATCAGTAGAAAGGTTTGAAAATGAAGTTGAATAAACATCCCAAAAACAGGACAGGAAAAAAGATGGTCAATAAGAAATAAAGAATATAAAATTTAGAATATCAATCTATGAGAGCCAATATTTAGCTGATAGGAGTCTCAGAGGGAACAGAAAAAAAAATCATAAGAAAAACGATCAAAGAAATTCTAGATGAAATTTTATCCAAATCAAATGACAAGTATTTCCAGATTGAATGGGTTTACTGAGGACCCATACCAAGGAAACTAAAAGGCCCACCAAAGTATGTTACCATGTGTATTAGCTCATTCTCATGCTGCTGATAAAGACATACCTGGGACTGCGTAATTTATAAAGAAAAAGAAGTTTAATGGACTCACAGTTCTGCGGGGCTGGGGAGGTCTCAGGAAACTTACAGTCATGGTGGAAGGGGAAGCAAACATGTCCTTCTTCATATGGTGACAGCTAGGATAAGTGCTGAGCAAAAGGGGGAAAAGCCCCTTATAAAACCATCAGATCTCATGAGAACTCACTAACTATCACGAGAACAGCATGAGGATCACCGCCCCCGTGATTAAATTACCTCCCACCTGGTCCAACTCATGACACGTGGGAATTACAGGAACTAAACTCAAGATGAGATTTGGGTGGGGACACAGCCAAACCATATCACCATGAAATTTCAGAATATCAAGAATAAAGATTGTAAAAACTCCTAAGAGGAAGAAAACAGTCACATACAAAGGGTCAAGAATAATAATGACTTTTGTATATGTCATGTGTTGAATTGTGTTCCCTCCAAATTCATATGTTGAAGTTTTAACCCCAATACCTCAGAAGGAGGCCTTATTTGGAAACAGTCTTTGCAGATGTAATTGGTTAAGATGAGGTCACATTGGAGCAGGCTGGGCCCCTAATCCAATACAACTGGTGTCCTTATATAGAAGAGAAATCGATACACAGGCATGCACACAGGGGGATGCTATGTGAAGATGAAGGTGGAGATTGGGGTGATGCAGCAGAAGCCAAGGAAAATCAAAGAGAGCAGCAAACCCCTAGCAGCTAGGAGAAATGCACGGAACAGATTCTACCTTACGGTCCTCAGAAGGAACTGACCCTGCTGACATCTTGATCTTGGAATCATAGCCTCCAGAACTGTGAGACAATACATTGCTAGTTTTTTTTGTTTTGTTTTTTTTTTTTTTTTTTTTTTGGTGGAGGGGAAACAGTTGGATTTTTTTGAGACAGGGTCTTTCCTTCTGTCTCAGGCTGGAGTGCAGTGGAGCAATCACCTCAACTTCCTGGGCTCAAGCAGCTCTCCCAACTCAGCCTCCCAAGTAGCTGGGACTACAGGCACACACCACCATGCCCAGCTAATTTTTGTATTTTTTGTAGAGACAGGGTCTCCCTATGTTGCCCAGGCTGGTCTCAAACTCCTGGGCTCAAGCAATCTGCCCACCTCAACCTCCCAAAGCTCTAGGATTACAGGCATGAGCCGCCACACCCAGCCAAATTTATGTTGTTTAAACCAACCAGCTTGTGATACTTCGTTACAGCAGCCCTAGGGAAGGAATATATTATGTGAACAAATGAAGTGACCATAAAGAGCCACTTCAAAATTCTGCAAGTCATCTCTAATCTAGAATTCCATAACCAGCCAAATATCAGCAAAGTGTGAAAGCAAAATAAAGACATTTTCAGACATGTAGCATCTCAAAAAATAAGAACAACTCCCATGCACCTTTTCTTAGAAAGCTACTGGAGGATATACTACATCAAACAAAGGAGTAGATCAAGAAAGAGGAAGACTTAGGCTCCAGGAAACAAGGAATATAACACATAGGAGGCAAAAAGATGTCCCAGAATTGCAACTGGGAAGTAAGGCTGAAGACCAACTAGTCCAGACTAAAACAGTAGACTGTAAAAGGGCCAGAATCAGAAGGAAAAACATTAAAGACAGACAATAATTATCTAATTATTGACCATGTGGAAAATAATATTGAGAAGAATTTTATAATATCAAAGGAATATCTGGAAAACATCACTGACTGATGCCTAGAAAAGTCAGCAATGCATTGTTGGACAGTTATTTATTGAGCACCTTCTAGAGGCCTGGCACCATTCTAAGCACCGGGAACACAGCAGTATATAAAGCAGATAAAAAATCCCTGCCCTCATGCAGCATATGTTCTAGAGAAGGAAATCAGACAATAATGGAAATAAGTGAAATCTATAGCATATTAGATGATCATTGTGCTACAGAGAAAAATAAAGTGGGAATGGGGATGCCAGGATGAGGTTTGGGGTTCAGCTTTAGATAGTCAGGGAAGGCACCACAGCAAAAGTCCTGAAAAAGGAGAAGGAGGAAACCATGCAGATACCTGGGGAAGCAAATGCATAGCAAATGCAAAGTTTCTGCAAAGGGAGCATACCTAGCAGGTCAGGAAACACCAAGGAGGCTTCTGTGGCTGGAGTGGATTGAACCAGAGAAGGAGATTTGCATTGCAATAGAATAGAAGAGTGACATGATCTAACTTATCTTTTAAAACAGTCACTCCAGCTTCTGTGTTGAAATAGACTGTCAGGTAACAATGGTGGAAGTAGAGTGACCAATTATGAGGCAGATTGTAAGCATCTGGATGGGAGCCAATGGTGGCATGGGCTAAGGCAC